>NC_000005.10:162731020-163034051 GCF_000001405.40 Homo sapiens | reverse complement strand
CAGTATGGGCTGGACTTTGTGTTTTGCCTCTAATGAATAAAATGCGATAGAAGTAATGTTGTGTCACTTCCAAGAGTGTTCATGAAGACATTGGAGCATCCACCTTCATCTCTTTTGATCATTCACTTCTTCTGGTGGAAGTTGGCCCCCTTGTCATGAGGACACTCAAGCAGTGCTATGGAGAGGTCTGTGCATCAAGAAACTTGGCCTTCTGCCAAGAGATAGCACCAACTTCTCACCTATGTGAATGAGCCATCTTAAGCAGATTCTCCAGCGCCATTCAAACTTTTATAAAAGTGTATCTTCAATTGATGTCATGACAGCAGTGTGAAACCCTGAGCCAGAATCACTGGGCTAAGTAGCTCCACATCCCATCCGCAGAAAATGTGAAGTAATGTCTTAGTCCATTTATCTGTTGCTTACAATAAAACACCTGAAATATGGTAATTTATACAGAAAAGAAATTTATTTCTTGCAGTTATAGATGCTGAGAAGTCCGTATTGGGTGAGGGCCTTCTTGCTAGTAGAAAGTCTTCAGAGTCCTGAGGCAGCACAGGGCCTCACATGGAGAGAGGGCTGAGGGTGGTAGCTCAGGATTCTCTACTTCTTATAAAGTCAGCAGTCCCTTCCCATCATAACCCATTAATTCCTTAACCTATTATCCATGAATAGATCAATCCATTCAAGAGGGAGGGCCCTCAAGATGCAATCACCTCTTCAAGGCTGTACAACTCAATACTGCCATATTGGGGATTAAATTTCTATGAGCTTTGGAGGGGACAAATATTCAAGTCATAGCACAATACATATTTATTGTTTTAAGGCACTACATTTTGAGGCAATTTGTCATGCTTAACACTTTAATACTTTGAAATCGGCATGGATAGTGAAGATTTTGGTTTAACTCGAGTGTCTATAAACTGTTTTCATTCCCATAGTTGTAAATTATGCCTTGGAATTTTATTTTTAAAAGTGATTTTGAAAGCCTCTTGATTTTCTGTACAATAGGTATTTAAAAGAGAGCAAAATAGGATACTTTAAGGTTTGAAAAAGTACCCACAGTCGTGTTTACTCTTAAAACTTTAATATTCAAAAGTGTTAAATATTAATGTAAATATAAGCTAGACATTAACAAAGGTTTTATTGATGTATATAATTTCAATTAGATTGCTTGAAAACTCATTTTAATACCCTAGTAACTATGACTACCTGAGAGAAGATGTTCATGGTTCTCAAGGGGCATCTCAAAATCACCGATGCCTAATGAATTCATTCATTAATTCTGATCAAATATGTATTGAGCAGCTACTATGCACCAGCCACTGTTTTAGGTTCTTGATATGATTAAGCCAGACTTTCTGACAAATTAGGTCAGTTTTGGGACCATCTGGCCATTCTGTCTCTGTCTCTGTTTCACAGCACATGGACCCAGATGAAGAAATTGGCTTTTCCCATTACTTTCATCAAACCATTTATTTTATAACATTTTATGTCAAGATTTTCCTGAATTTTTGACAATATGGAGAATTTTGCAGTGAAGTAACACATACAATTTAAAATTCACTGTAAGAAATTCCTGTTTATGGAAGTCCTGTAGCTATTTCTGTAAATTGAGCTCCAGACTCCCTGGTTGTGTTTCTTGGCCCCCTTGCCCTTCATCCTCTCTTCTTTGTTCTCTCACTTTCCTCACCATCAGAGTTCTATTTATTTTTAGTGCAGAACATTTTAGCTATTTCTTCTACTGTCTTGACTTTTGCCAACTTATAACCACATGCATTTTCTCCTAACTCACTTTCTTATCAAGGTGTTTTCCTCAAAATTTGTTTTCCTCTATAAAAATAAATCTGATACTATCTGTTAAAGAAATAATTTTTACACTATGCCAAGTATTTTTTCCCTGAAGTGATAGGTGCCATGACACATTGATGAATAGCATTTGGAAAACTGGTTGAACTAAACTTAAACATAGTGCAAGGATTATTTGCTGTGCAACCATATACACATTCTGCAAATGTTTAATTACCAGTGAATTAGGAATATCCGAGGGCAGTTATATAGTTGAAAAGGAAAAACAAACTCAGTTTCTTCAACTACACTCTCTCAAAATACTTCTGACACCAGATGTGTGTGGATTTCTCCCCAGCAGCAAGCAATTAATTCTGCAGTGGATACCAGCTCAGTGTCCTTTAATTTGCTCAGTGTCCTTTAATTCAATTCAATTCTGACACTATCTACCTGGAGGTTGCATAGATTGCACAGATTGAGAGCTCAGTCCCTACAAGACTGCCCTAACTTCAGATGCCAGTAGCAAGCCTCAGTTTGTTTTTCCTGTGCTTCTGACTGACTAGCTGTAAATTGAGGTTCCCATGGTGACCACCTTTTTGAGTTTGATTAATTTGCTAGAGGAACTCAACAGAGCTCAGGAAAACACATTTACCAGTTTCTTATAAAGAATATTACAAAGAATGTAGACAAAGAGATGCACAGATCAAGGCATGTGGGAAGGGATGTGGAGCTCCCATGCCCTCTTGGATGTGACACTCTCCGGGCACTTCCATGCATTTGGCTATCTGAAAGCTCATTGAGATCCAGTCCTTACAGTTTCTCTGGAAGCTTTATTACTTAGGCATAATTGATTAAAGCACTGGCTACTTTGGTTAACTTAACCCCCCACCCACCCCTAATCCCTCCCCAGAGGTTGTGGGTGGGGCTGAAAGTCCCAACCTTCTCATACTGCTTTGGTCTTTCTGGTGCCCAGCTCCATTCTGAAGTTATCTAGGGGCTGCCAGCCATCAGCCAACGCATTAGCACACAAAAAGGCATGACTTTGGCGATTCTACAGATTTTAGAAGTTGTATGCCAGGAAACCGGGATGGATGCAGAACAAATGTATGTTTTATAGTATCACAAGAGTCCAAAAAGGCTATTATTTTTAGATAAATGAATTTTTTAAAATCTTCAATTTTTAATTTAAACAGAAAATTTGGCTTTTTTTCCAACCTTTCTTTCTGTTGTCTGACACAGCAGTTCCATCCACACCATAGATGATGTTGACATTAGAATAACTATGCCCTAAAAAGGCTAGGCTATAAATAATAACTTTTTATGTGAGGAAATAGCAGGGAGAATAGTGAGAATGAGAAATCTCTGTTTTGGGAAAAGTCATTAGAAAATATTTGCTATTTTTTTTCTTTTTCTCTTGATTTGGATTTACACAGATTTTAACTTGTAGAGGGCAGAAATATTTGAAACTCTTTGAAAGTTCTGAAAACACAATGTTTTAAATTTAAAGTTAGGAGTATAGGGCAGGTTTATCATTTAACTGTTGTTGCCTCTAAACAAACACACAAAAGAGTTTTGGATATGTAGATACTAATGAATTTGGTTTTTCCAATCAAGTGAAGCATTGATATTGTTTGGCTCTGTGTCCCCACCCATATCTCACCTTGAATTGTAATAATCCCCACATGTCATGGGAGGGACCCAGTGGGAGGTAATTGAATCATGGATGTGGGTTTCTCCTGTGCTATTCTCATGCTAGTGAAGAAGTCTCACAAGATCTGATGGTTTTATAAAGGGAAGTGTCCCTGTAAATGCTTTCTCTCTTGCCTACTGCCATATAAGATGTGCCTTTCTCCTCCTTCACCTTCCGCCGTGATTGTGAGGCCTCCCCAGCCATGTGGAACTGTGAGTCAATTAAACCTCTTTCCTTTATAAATAATCCAATCTTAAATGTGTCTTTATTAGCAGTGTGAGAACAGACTAATACAAGCATATCTTTTGGTATTGCATTACTTACCAATTCTGTTGGCAATACTCTGCTATTGAAGTTGGCAGACAAAAAATTAGACAATAATATTAAAATGTTTCTTTTAAATGTAAAAACCTTGAAAAAGAATTGTCTTTGACACAACACAATGTCCAAGTAATTAGTTATCTTTCTTTTTTCCTTTACCTTTCCTTTCCTTTTCTTTCCTCTTTTTTGTAGTTTCTTCTTTTTCTCTCCATCTCATCTATTATAGGTTGGAGAACTTAAAAACCATCCAAAATGAAATAGCTATTTAGGTTCATGGCATATATTCAGACAGATGTATTTCTTTGCCCAGACAAGAATCCATCAATTTGCTTCTACTAGAAGTACTTAGAGGGTGTAGGGCTGATTTAAAAATGACTCTAGTGGACTCATGTGAATATAGTCAACTGATTTTTGATAAAGGAGCAAAGACAATACAATGAAGCAAAGATAGTCCTTTCAACAAGTGGTGTTGGAGCAACTGGACATCAACATGCAAAAATAAACCTGGAAACAGACTTCACATCCTTCCCCAAAATTAACTCAAAATAAATTGTATACCTAGATGTAAAATGCGAAACTGTGAAACTCCTAGAGGATAACATAGAAGAAAATCTAGATGACACTGGGTATGGTGATGCCTTTTTAGATACAACACCAAAAGCAGAGTATCTGAAAGAAATAATTGATAAGATGGACTTCATTAAGAATAAAAACTTCTGCTCTGTGAAAGGCAATGTCAAGAGAATGATAAGACAAGTCACTGACTGGGAGAAAATATCTGCAAAAGACATTTATGATAAAGGACTGTTATCCAAAATATACAATGAACTTTTAAAACCTTAAAATAACTTTAAAAATAAGAACTTTTAAAATAAGAAAACAACCTGATTTAAAAATTGGCCAAAGACCTTAACAGACACCTCATCAAAGAAGGTATACAGATGGCAAATAAGCATATGAAAATATGCACATAATCATATGCCATTGGGAACTGCAAGTTAAAACAACAGGACACCAGTATATACCTATTAGGATGGTCAAAATCTGGAATACTAACACACCAAATGCTGACAAAAATGTAAAGCAACAGGAACATATAATCAGAGCTGGTAGGAATGAAAAATAGTACAGCCACTTTGAAAGACAGCTTGGTGATTTCTCATCAAACTAAACATACCATTTGACTCAGCAGTTATTCTTCTTGTTATTTACCCAAAGGAATTGGAAACATATTTTCACACAAAGTCCTGCATGCAGGTGTTTATAGCAGCTTTATTCATAATTGTTAAAACTTGAAAGCAACCAAGATGTCCTTAAGTAGGTGAATGAATAAGTAAACTGTGGTACATCCATATTGTTCAGCACTGAAAAAAGAGCTATCAAGCATGAAGAGACACGGAGGAAACTTAAATGAATATAGGTGAGTGAAAGGGTGTATCTGAGAAGGCTATATATGTAATAATTTCAACTATATTACATTCAAGACACGGCAAAACTATGGAGACAGTAAAAAGAACAGTGGTTCACAGGAGGTGGGGGATGAGGAGAGAACTGAATAGATGGAACATGGATTTTTAGGGCAGTGAAAATACTCTTCGATGTCATAATAACAAATACATATCATTATACATCTGTCCAAACTCATAGAATATGAGTGAACTCAACACCAGGAGTGAACTTAACACCAGGAATAAACCCTAATGTAAACTATGGATTTTGGGTGATAACGTGTTAATGTAGGTTCACCAGTTATAACAAATGTACCACTGTTGAGCGATGTTGGTAATGAGAGAGGCTACTGGAAATCTCTGTACCTTTCTCTTTTTTTTTTTTTTTGAGACGGAGTCTTGCTCTGTCGCCCAGGCTGGAGTGCAGTGGCACGATCTCGGCTCACTGCAAGCTCCACCTCCCGGATTCACGCCATTCTCCTGCCTCAGCCTACCGAGTAGCTGGGACTACAGGCGCCCACCACCACACTCAGCTGATTTTTTTGTATTGTTAGTAGAGACGGGGTTTCACCGTGTTAGCCAGTATGGTCTCGATCTCCTGACCTCGTGATCTGCTCACCTAGGCCTCCCAAAGTGCTGGGATTACAGGCATGACCCACCGCGCCCAGCCTGTACCTTTCTCTTAATTTTGCTGTGAACTTAAAACTGCTCTAAGAAATAAAGTCTGAAAAAAATGACTTTATGTTTTATCAGTCTAAATTGTCATTGAAAAGAGATTTGAGATTTGTGTTGTACATTTGTCCTAGGCTGCTCCTCCAAGAAACAGAAATAAAAGCAGAGAAATACAGATTCCATTTACAAATAACTTTTAAACTTGATATTAAGCGTGCCATTTATGCTCTTCTGGAACCATTTTATTAATCTATCAAAATAAGTAGGTTGTATCTACTGATTTCTTTCTTTTTTTTTTTTTTTGACAGAGTCTTGCTCTGTTGCCAGTCTGGAGTGCAGTGGCACAGTCTCGGCTCACTGCAACCTCCACCTCCTGGGTTCAAGTGATTCTCCTGCCTCAGCCTCCTAAGTAGCTGGAACTGCAGGCGCCTGCCACCACGCCCAGCTAATTTTTTTTTTTCTGTATTTTTAGTAGAGACGGGGCTTCACCATGTTGGCCAGGATGGTTTGGATCTCTTGACCTCATGATCCCCCTGCCTCGGCCTCCCAAAGTGCTGGGATTACAGGTGTGAGCCACTGCACCCAGCCCTGTATTTACAGATTTCTAAACTGTCTTGTAGTTCTTAAGATGTAAGAGTTTATTACACTAAGTAACTCTTGGATTAAAGAGTGTCATTGGCCAGGCACGGTGGCTCACGCCTATAATCCCAGCACTTTGGGAGGCCAAGGCAGGTGGATCACCTGAGGTCGGGAGCTCGAGACCACCCTTACCAACATGGAGAAACGCTGTCCCTACTAGAAATACAAAATTAGCCATGTGTGGTGGCACATGCCTGTAATCCCAGCTACTCGGGAGGCTGAGACAGGAGAATTGCTTGAATTCGAGAGGCAGAGGTTGCTGTGAGCCGAGGTTGTGCCATTGCACTCCAGCCTGGGCAACAAGAGTGAAACTCCGTCTCATAAATAAATAAATAAATAAATAAATAAATAAATAAATAAATAAAAGAGCATCATTATTTAATGTAAGGTCCATGGCTATTTCCATAGCACCTGGTAATACAATACTGATTGTATTACCCTTCAGCCCTCCAAACAAACAAAATTTCAAAATTGAATTTATATCATTAATTAGCAATTATTCATTTTTACCTCATAATATTTAAGTTATGGAATATGAGGAAAAGAGTAAACATCACTCAAGGACTTAACCTCCTCTTCTAGGGAAGGGATTAATACATTTTTGGTTGTACACAGAATAGTTATATCATGTTAAGTGGAACTACAACCTTTTTATTTCATTTATGCAGAGACTAAGTATGATTTAAAGACATGAGTATGGGTGTCAAGTTGACAAGGAATGGACTTGTGGTGGCTGATTTGGGGTATCAACCTGACTGGATTAAGGGATATCCAGATAGCAGATAAAGCATTATTTATTCTCAGTGCTTTGCTTGGCCTGGGCTCATAACTTTTCTGCTGAAAGGGAAGCCCAGGTGGTTTGTTTTGGATTTCAATGACAGGGCTGCTCCAGCTGTGTCTGTGAGGGTGTTTCCAGAGGAGATTGGCCTGTGAATCAGTGGATTGAGTGTGGAAGATCCACCCTCAATGTGTGTGGCACCATCTAATCAGCTGGGGTCCCCGATGGAACAAAAAGGCAAAGGAAGGGTTAATTATTTCCCTTTCTTTTTGGAGCTGAGGTGTCCTTCTCCTGACCTTGGACATCAGAAAATTAGGATCCCTGGCCTTCAGACTCTAAGACTCCCCCCAGCAATCTCACTGGGCTCTTGAGTCTCAGCCTTGGACTGAGAGTTATACCATCAACTTCCTTGGTTCTGAGGCTTTTGGACATGGACTGAGCTGCGTTACCAGCTTTCTTGGTTCTCCAGTTTGCAGGTGGCCTATGATGGGAATTCCCAGCCTCCATAATCAAACCAGCCAATTCTCCTGATAAATCCCTTTTAGCATTTCTCTCTACCTATCCTATCAGTTCTGTGTCTCTGCAGAACCCTTATTAAAACATCAGTGTAGATGGACATTTGTTGATATCTTCTTTGCCAACTCTCTCCTCAGTTCCTTTTCCAAATGGTCACCAGTTTCCACTTGGGCATCTAGTGCTGGAGTGGGGCTGGAACCTAGGCCAAGCCAATCACAGCATTTCATTTCATTGGTCACACACTGTGGTTCAGGACTTGCTATCCCATTCCCATGGTACCTACACTCATTCAGAGTGAAATTCAGTTTGCTGGGAATTCTGGAGCAAAAATGACCTCTTTCCCTGCTAAATATGAATGAGGAAACAGGGAGCCCTAGGTATTAGCAGTCATTTGAGATGTTAAAATAAATCAGTTTTAGGAAGATGTAAATATCTTGGAAGGCAGAGTGAGATGTGAGAAGCACGCACACACACAGATACACACAACTACACAAATTTTGTGACACAATTAAAGCCTGAGCTTTATGTGAGTTAATAAAATCTCCTTATATTTTAAGGCAATTTGAGTTAGGTTTTCTATTATTGGTAACCAAAACTGATCTTCACGTCCTGAGTGTGCTAGCTGAGGGAAATTTATGGGACTAATCACAATTTTAGGATGGTCAAAACAAATATATGACAGGACAAACTAGAAGAGATCTGTCAAATATTGTGTAGAATCCTCAGCCTGTTAAAGGGAATGGTAATGTAGTAGAAAAAGCATGGACTTTGAGGTGAGGCAGACATCAGTTTAAATCATGACTCATTCACTTGACATAAATATTTGCAAATATCTAGTTTGTCCTGCCATATATTTGCTTTGACCATCTTAAATTGTGATTAGTCCCATGAATATCTCATGTAATCCTCTTAATGAGTCTATTATTTTACCAATGAGGAGACTAAGAATAGAGAAACAAATCCAAAGTGTACAAGTTAGTATGGGGCACCGGTAGTTTTCAAACCTATGTGTACATCATACCATGTTTTCACTTTTACTCCCTTACATCTTCGAAAAGTGCTGATCCATGTGTATTTTATTTGGCCCATGCATTGTGTTTTTAAAATGTTCGAGCCAGCATATAAACATTGGATAATTTCATGTAAAAATCCGAACTTGCATCTTCACTTAAAAAACGAGGTCTGGCCACCCTAGGTCTGCATTCCCATGGGAACTATCAGCTGGAGAGGTACAATGGCTGCGCCATTTAATCATGACGTGCCTTCTACAATTTTCTGCAATTTCCATCCTTCTATAGTGTTGCCCTGACTCCAAAGCTGTGTTAGTAAATAATGGTCACTTATTTCACATCGTTGCTTTTCTTATAATAGAGATATAATTATTTGTACTTGGGAAAATGAAGGATTAATCTAGAGGGTGAAACTTTTCAAGTAACAAGAGAGAGTGAACTCTTACTTGAAGAAGCAAAGAACATTTCTTTTAGTTTAATCTACAAGTGCCACACCTAATTTATTCATTTATTTTACCTGCTTGGCTGTGGTGAGCAGCAAAGTTTGCAAATACTCCATTAAATTATACTTTTTTGTGTGTGAAATTTTGAGAAAACTTTTTCAATTCTCCAAAGCTCCTTTTCCTTATTTTAAAAATGGAGATTTTGTTGCAGGGTTAAATAAGAGAAACTACTTAAACAACCCAGCTGAACACTTGAAATCTAGTAAATGTTTAGAAAGACCAGCCTTAGCTCCCTTCCTCTCGCTCTCTCGCTCTCTCTGTCTCTCTCTCTATATGTTTATATTTGTGTGCGTGTGTGTGTGTGTGTGTTTGTGTGTGATGAATCTGGCCTATATTACTATAATAAATTGCGAACATGAACACATCATTTTTACATTAATAGATTTGCTGTCTGCATCATTTGCAAAATATCATCTTTTTAATCTTGTGCATCATTGGCTTGTGGATAGTGCCTGTCTAATTTGAGGACTGCAAAGGTAAAAGTAATTAGTACTATATGGGTGACATCCCAGTGTGTTGAAACTTCCCATGATATGAGAGAAATCAAGCAAGTGCCTGTTTTCTCAAAATGCCATCTAGGAGAGGAGATTCATGACAGAAAGAGGCCAAATTGCACATCTAGAATGAAATGGATACTGACTGTCAGGAGGAAGAGACACTTTAATTGGCGATGATAAAGTTAAAGTTTGCCAGTAGCTGTCACCGTGGGAGTGACCCCTCCCAAGGAATGTTAGGTGAAATGAAGGAAGAAAAGTATGTCCTTCTCAGATTATTGTCTTTTTGGAGCCTTGCAGTTTATCAGGTAAAATAAGAGTTTTGTGATGTGAAAGTCAGTATCAATATCTATCTTTAACTTTGGAGAAAAAATAGATTTTCTTTCTTAGTGTCTCTTTAAACAAGTGATTTATGTTTGAACCTAGTCATCCACTGTAGAAGCACAAAATTACAGCATTAGATAAGAGGTCTAGAAAACCCCACATGGATTATTGTAAGAAGTCAAGACAAAAATTATTTATGTTTGTTAAAATATTCTGAAGTTTAACCCATCATTGAAAAGATTGAATAATAGCACTTTAAGGCAGCCAAAAATAATAGTATTTAATGTAATGGTTCTATTGTCCTTAGTGACTCTCTTTGAATTTTTCCTGCTGGTTAACTAGACACTGGAAACAAGATCTTTTAGCTTTCAGAGCAATGACCTTTTCATTATACTATAACTTCCTACTGGGGTTATTTTTTGAGCTAATGCTCCAAGATCAGACACTAGTTAAGGTTTCCTTCTTAAAATATAATTGGAATAGACTATTTATGATCTTTGCAGCCCCCCTTAACTTATTGGAGACTACTTCCTTTTTTATGTAGGTAATTGCTCTCCCCATAGATATATGCATTAGAGATAACTTTCATGTTTGTTCAATATAATCCTAGCTTTCTGGCCACAATTGATTTGTTGAAAAATATATGGGTAAATCAATTCAGTCAAATAAATTATTTTCGTGAGAATTTGGATTAGGGAATAAAAAAGAAAAGATCAGCATATTTCTGATTGGCTGAATATGTAACCTATAGCCTTTGTAGCTGTTGGCTGCCACACAAACTGAATCCTTTTCGGAATGAGGGAGAAGAAGTAAATCCACTAAATTCACTGCAGAGAAAAGCAGAAATGAGAAAGGGAGAGGAAGGATTTCTGAGTTCCCTATTTTCAGTCCTGGGTTCTATAACATACCACTATAATATCCTAATGGATTTTCTCTTTAGTTTGAAATAGTTTCAGAAGGCTCTTTCCCTTTCTTTCTCTTTCCCTTTCTTTCTCTTTCCCTTTCTTTCTCTTTCTCTTTCTTTCTTTCTCTTTCTTTCTTTCTTTCTTTCTCTTTTTCTTTCTTTTTCTTTCTTCTTTCTTTCTTTGCTTTTTCTTTCTTTCCTTTCTTTCTTTTTCTTTCTTTCTTTCTTCTTTCTCTCTCTTTCTCTCCTTCCCTTTCTCCCTCCCTCCCTTCCCTTCTTCCCTCCCTCCATCCCTTCCTTCCTTCCTTCCTTCTTTCTTTCTTATTTTATTTCCTTTTTGGTTTTCTTTTATTCTTTCTTTTATTTTTTAAAATCAAGTAAAAGTCTAAAACTCTCATTTTATTTTTCACGTGTTTGTGTTTTGGGGTGCTCTTGATGACAAATTGCATCTTGCTTCTTCTCATGCGGAGACTGTATATAATAATCTCTATCATTTACAAAGAACCTTCTGTGTGCCAGATACTACAGTAGTCATAGTAGATTCATTATCTCTAAGCTTTACCTAAACATTTAAAAAGTACAATTCAGAAAGATTAAGTAACTTACATAAGATTCTTAATCTCATAAATGACAGAGCAAATTTTATATCCATTTCTTCATTTATTCCTTGGTTAAACTTTCACTAAATGCCTACTGTCTTCCAAGTATTATTCCAAAGACACTGAAGATGCAGAAATGAAAAAGACAAGGTTTCAGATCTCATGATTCTACATTCTAGTGGAGGATAGAGTCAGTAAACAAAGAAGTGAATATAAACATGAAGAAGTGGTGAAGGATATAAAAAATAAAATGTGATAGGGATTAAAAAAAAAGCAGTGAGACACTGGGAAATACTTTAGGTTAAAATTGTCACGAAAGTCCAGTTTGAGCAAAGACTCAACATGGGGGAGAAGTGAGTCAAGCAAAGAGCTTCCAGGTAGAGGCAACAGCAGGCACACACAAAAAATCCAATGCATAGAATGTTAGGAATCCTAAAAATTTAATTATAACCTCTAGAAATCCTAGAAATTTATCATATAGCCAAATATGTTATACATATACATATAATGAAAACAACATATACAAAGGTGCTATAGAGATAACTGGAGAAAAGATGAGCTTAGCAATAAAGAGTTCTAAGACACATGCTTGTTAACATGGAAAGATGTAAAATTGAATCCTCCTTCATCTCCACACTTATACACACATAAATATCAGCTCTCAGTGATATTAAATATGAAAAATATACTTTTATGTTTTAAGAGAAAATTATCTCTATTATATTCTCAAACAAGGCACAAAATCTGAAATCGTAAAGGAGAAAATCACTTTATATTAAAAGTAAGAATTTACATTTTTTTTGAGACAGAGTCTTTCCTTGTCACCCAGGCTGGAGTGCAATGGCGTGATCTCGGCTCAGTGCAACCGCCGCCTCTTGACTTCAAGCGATTTTCCTGCCTCAGCCTCCTGAGTAGCTGGTATTACAGGCGTTCACCACCACGCCTGCCTAATTTTTTGTATCTTTAGTAGAGACGGGGTTTCACCATGTTGGCCAGGCTGGTCTCGACTCCTGACCTCGTGATCCACCTGCCTTGGCCTCCCAAAATGCTGGGATTACAAGAATTTACATTTTTCAAAAGATACCATAAATTATGAAAATATAAACCAAAACCCAAGAGATTTTTATAATACTTATTACTGACATAGGAATAGTATCCAGACCATATAAAAGAGTCGTAGAAATCAATAAAAGGACAAATAAATAATCAAATTATAACAAGCGTTTCACAGAAAAGGAAATATAAATGTCCAGTAAGTATATTTTTAAAGCCTAATATCAATAGAAAGCAGAAGGATGTAAATTATAACCTAAATATGACATCATTTTACAGTTACCACAGTGGTAAAGTTGTTGGCAAGGATGTGGAACAACAGGAACTCATACTCGCATGGTGAAAGTATATAACCACTTGAGAAAGCAAGGTGATATTATCTAGTCAAAAAGATAGATGCATGTCCCTTAAGAATCCAAAATTCTAGACCCAAACATGTATCCTGGAGAAAGTCTTCCACATGTCTAAGTGAAAATATATGCATATATATAGCAGCATTTCTCTCAATAGAGGAAACAACTCAAAAAAGAAACAACCCTAATGTCAATCAATTGGAAAATGGAAAAAAATTAATTTTAGTTTATGCATGCAGTGTTTTCCTATTTAATGGTGAAACATAGATAGATCTCAAAAACATAGTACTGAAGAAAAAATGACCTGATGATTTGCCCATTTATCTAAACCTTAAAAACATGCCTGGACAGGTTGTTGACTTAGGGACACATCGATTTGTAGACAAGACTAAGGAAAAGCAAATGATGATTAAAGGAATTTAGTATAGCGGTTACCCTTCAGGAGTAGGGAGGCATTATGGTCAGGTAGAAGCATGAAGAAGCCTTCAGAAGGTATCTGTAAGGATCTATTCCTTAAGCTGGTTTCCAGGTGCCAGGTCATTGTTTTGTCATTCTTTAAGCTACACACTTAACAAATTTAAACTTTAAATATGCTATTTTCTATGTGAAAATAGTTCATCATTTAAAAATAAAACAAGAAGTGCTTGACTACTTCATGATGCTACGCTTCCAAAATGCAAAAGAAAGCAACCATTATTTTCTCACCTGTGCATAATTCAAATTGATTCCATTTCTTTATTTCTTCCATGGAGCATACCTAAGGTCCTTTTACAGGAAAGCAGTTTATTGCTCATTTATTTATATTTTGCCCCTTGACATTTCTCACTTTATATCCTATTTCAAGGCTTTGAGATATGGTGAAAGAAATAATACCAATTTCATGTTTGGATATGGGTAATCAAATGTGCAGCTAAGTAAGTAAAATGTAAGTCATTACTGTCAAATACCATTAGAGACCTCTTTATTTACCAAAGAAACCACTTTTGTTGTTAGATGCTTTAAAAGCCCTTCAGAACATTGATAAATGACAATCTTTACAGATTATTTTGAGCTTTCAATTAATTTCTTTCTGTAGAGATAAACTGCAAATAATTTTTATTGTAAGTGCATGAAATTGAAGGTTGGAAGAAAGAATGTGTCGTAAAGGGAAACAATATAAATTTACGTGGATAACATTCTATTTTTTTTTCTCTAAATATTATCCTCTGCTCTTCGTGGGTGGTTCCTTCTTATTCTTTGGTAATACTGCCCAAACATTTTGATACACTAAGCAAGAAAGAATTTCTGACTCCACTTTCTCAAAGGATGTAACCTTCAACCAATGCCACTTTTAATTTCCCAATAATTATTATCTTGAGCTGATAGAGGCAGAAGAGCAAAGACAAGAACCATTTAGGGAAAAGACTTATGTTCCTGTCTCTCTACAAAGTGCCAAAAGTGATAATAAAGAGTGGTAAAGATTGAAGCTACCTGAGTTAGAGGGAAGTTATTTCCACTGAGAATCTTTTCTTCTCTTATTTCCCATTGTGATTCTGAGGTCAGGATACCTAATTCTTTTCAGCATGAAAAGTCCCTTATGCAAAAATGAGAAATTCTAATTCAGAAACAGCAGCAGATTTGTTCAAAGTTTAATTTTCCTTCTATGCATAAGACATCTTCTAAAATCAATTCATTAAAAATATCTGTGTGACAAGACATGAACCTGCAGCACAGAAGCTCTGAGTTTTAAGTGTTTAGAGATATGTATACTTTTTCTGTAGAGAAAACCTACGTTTTTCTTTCAAGAATCAAGGAGGATTACCTTTCCATCATTTGCTTTAGAAGCACTAAGGGAGGTAAAAGGACTTTGGGGACTTTTGCTATTATAACATTTTGCCTTTATTTTTCATATCAGTATGGTTCTTTAGTTGCAAGCAAAACAAAACAAAACAAAACAAAGCAAAACAAAACAAACTGGCTCTGATAAGCCTAAGCAAAGCAGAGATTTGTTGGAAGGATATGGAATAGTTCAGAGAATTGAACAGAAATATAAAGATGTAAAGTTTAGAAATGACCAAAATCACTCTGAAAATTCAGTTAAAAAATGGACTTAAAAAACTTTTACTTTAAGTTCTGGGATATATGTGCAGAACGTGCAGGTTTGTTGCATAGGTATACATGTGCCATGGTGGTTTACTGCACCTATCAACCCACCATCTAGGTTTTAAGCCCTGCATGCATTAGGTATTTGTCCTAATGTTCTCCCTCCCCTTGCCCCCCACCCACTGACAGGCCCCAGTGTGTGATGTTCCCCTCCCTGTGTCCATGTGTTCTCATTGTTCAACTCCCACTTATGAGTGAGAACATGTGGTGTTTGGATTTCTGTTCCTGTATTTATTTGCTGAGAATGATGGCTTCCAGCTTCATCCATGTCCCTGCAAAGGACATGAACTCATTCTTTTTTATAGCTGCATAGAATTCCATTGTATATATGTGCCACTTTTTCTTTATCCAGTCCATCATTGATGGGCATTTGTGTTGGCTCCAAGTCTTTGCTATTGTAAATAGTGCTGCAATAAACATACTTGTGCATGTGTCTTCATAGTACAATTATTATAAAAATAGATGACTTTTAATACGGCACTACTGGTAGATGAGTGAGTCCAAGTTTCTTTTTATCTGTGAGTCCTTCTGCTTAAGATTGAAGTTCCAGGAAGAGAACATCTGGCCTCCTGCCCACCCTTGCCCAGAAGTTGTGGGGGACCTTGACTGATTGTCCCACTATATTTATATACAAAGAAGAATCAGGAACTTTTAACTAAAAAAAGAAGGAATCAATGCTAGGATAGCAGTAAAAAACAAACTACAAACTACAAATAAACAAAAATTTAAAATATTTTCTTGCCCGGCACTATCATTGCAAGGATGCACTGCCCAGTAGAAGTCTCAGGAAGAGTATGCTTTCCTGTGCCTCTCTTGCTTTTAAAATGACATCATTTCTGTGGATATCCAATTTACCATATTAAAAATGGGTGATGTTAGCAACTTTCCAATTAAAATAAGTTGAAAAAAAGGCAAATGTAGAAGAACTAGGAACAGTCTGGAAAGCGTTACTGAATATAGCAATTGGGACTACAAGGATTGTTAGAACTAAATGAATGAGTCTACATTTTGTTCTTCATTAAATGGATGTTTATGTCAAGAGAATGGCTGTTTAACCATATTTTATTATGTTCCACTATTCCCTCAAATTAATAAGAATTTCTTTTGCCTCCATTGAGCAAAAAACCCCACATGACTAATTTAGTGGACTCAGGTTAAAAATGTGCTTTAAGATCCAATGAAGTGAAATTAATAGCTGGTTGGGGAACTAAGGTACTCGTGTTGTTATACTAAAGAGTGGCTTCTTCAGGTTATTTGGTAGCAAAGACCTAAAGGGCAGAGCTTCCAATTACAAGACAGTGTTACCACTCTGTCTGGAACGTGGGTTAATAAACCTCTCCCCTTGGAGAAATTGGCAATACATGTTGTCTATTTGCAGTTTAGTGGCTCTATTTTATGGTGCCATTACCTTCTAAAATATGAGCACTTTTATTCATTAAATTACTCCCAAATGTTTATTGTCCAATCAAAGCTGGATGAGATTAAAACCAAATTGATTTTCATTTTAACTTGTGAGAGGCCTCATCAACATTTTTCCTGGAAAGTTTCTTTAAAAATAATGAATTGCTCTATAGTTTGAGTTTTAACATTGCAGAATCTTAAGAACGCATGGACAAGACAGGTGAATCTCGTCATGTAGACATTTAGCTTTTGCAGATTCAGCTGGAGCAAGAGAACGAGAAAGGGAAGAAAAGAGAAAAAGAGGGAGAGAAAGAGGAAAATTCCAATGTTGGAAGAAAAATTGATTTCATTGGACTTATTGAGAGAAGATATCTTCATGTCCAATTTAGCTATAGGTATGAAAGTTTTGTTCATGCACTGGCTTTAAAAATTAAAATATTTTATAAGCAGAAATCAAATTCTTGGCCGGGTGCACTGACTCGTATCTGTAATCCAACACTTTGGGAGGCCAAGGCGGTTGGATCTCTTGAGTTCAGGAATTCAAGACTGGCCTCGGCAACATAGTGAGACCCCATCTCTGTGAAAAATACAAAAATTAGCCAAGTGTGGTGTTGTGTGCCTGTAGTTTCAGCTACTTGGGAGGCTGAGGTGGGAGGATTGATTGAGTGGGGAGGTCAAGGCTTCAGTGAGCCATGATCATGCCACTGCACTTCAGCCTGGGTGACAGAGTGAGACCTTGTTGCAAAAAACCAAACCAAAACAAAACACACACACAAAAAGACAAATTCTGTGTGTCTCATTAAGTTGAAAGAATTTGAAGATATCTTACTAGTGTTTTCAAGATATAATCCTCTGATACCTTTCTCAAAAATCACCTGCCATTGCTTGGCAAAAATGTAGATTCATTAGCTCACCACAGACTACTGGATGAAAGTTTTTGATGATGAGGCTCTAGAATCCACATATTACTAGCTTTCCTTGGGGACTGTGATAGATTTAAATTGAAAAAAAAAAAACACTGCCTAATCAGTAATACAGAATACCTCATTTATTTTTAGAAGGGATGTCTCTGAGGAGCAGAATGGTAAAGTGACCTGCCAGAGTAGCACAGTATGTTAATCAATATTAATATGTTTACTGATTTGAAAACTTGTGCTTTTCGCCTACACACCATTTTTTAACCTTCATGCATCACCTCTAAATAATGATAGTCAGTTGTTTGTTATATACTGGTCACAATAATGAATAATGAAAGAATTGAGCTTAAATATGTTTTTTTAGTGGGTACTAGAGAAGGCAATAAGAATAGATAAAAAGGGAATAATGGAAGAATAGCCAGCATATGGTCAACATGTGATAATATAATCTGTATTCCAGTATTGTGACACCCCTACTGTAGACGTAACCTACATTGTATTCCACAGATTCCCTGTCTTTATTTGTCTTCATGTTTATCAAAATACTGTGAAAATTCAAACATTGCAGAAATATATAATATGGGAGAGGTCTTCCATAATTCCATCACTGATATCACTAATATCACCACTGTGGTAAAAAAGTTGTCCATTTCTCCATTTCTTCCTTAGTAACAGTTGTTGTTCTCCATTTCTTCCTTAGTAACAGTTGCTTGAATTGTGGAAATGGGGTAGGGAAGTAGCATGATCTACACAAAACAAAACTGCAAGTCCCAGCCTCTTCTGCAAATAAAAATCACTAATGTAATGTAAGCAGAAGTCGTTTGGTAAGGACTCCATGAAAATTTTATAAAGGAATCACCTTGGCACAGAGATGTTTCCTGTTTATCCTCCCACTCTTCTATTCTTCCTTCCTATAATGGTGATGTGATAACTGGAGCTGCTTCTGCCTTTTTTTGGTTGAGTTTAGGAATTCAAACTTGAAAACGAAAGTCATGTGTTAATGATGGTGGGACAGGAAGATGGAAAGGGCCTGGGGTGAGATTTTCTATGCCAACTTTGGTCCGCCTAGCTCTTCTGGATTTCCTTAATGAAATAAAATAAAATAAAATACAACTTTATCTTGCTCAAGCAATTGTTATTGCAGGTCTCTGCTTTAGCAGCTGAATGCAATTCCAAACTCACATGACATCCTTAACAGTTTGTTGTATGTTCTTAGTCTGCTTTCCAGGAAAACATCTTTACTCCATGGGCAGATGGAGGGAAGACTAAGCTATATAGGGAAAAGAATGAGAGTCAGTCTGGTGTGGAAATATATGAGACAAAGAAAGACAGAGCAAGGACAAAAATGATGAGCGTCATTAAGAATTTTAAGAGTCCTTCCTGGGAGCTTTACTTTCATTTATACCATAAATACATGAGCATATATAAAGTATCCCATAGAAGGCTTGGTTTTTGTCAGGCTAGTAGCTTTTATTTCATTTGTTGGTAGCTATAGCTTGATTTCAAAGGGCAACCACCCGTCCTATATTCTTAGTTCTTAAGGTTTAAATGAACTCACCAGATGTTTTGTCACCATAGTTAGGCAAATGACCCAGGACTGGTCAAACAGCCTATTTCATGTTTCCACAATGACTGGTTCAGGAATCAGCGATGTGACACAAGCCAATAGGATATAATCTTAGTAAAGTCTGGAATAGAAGAGCTCATGTTTTGCTAGCTGTGAGGAGCCTGGAAACTTGGAGCTGCCTATAAATATCTCAAAAGAGAACCTGCCTGAAGATGATGCCAACATAATAGAGCAGAGTTGAGAGATAGAGAGGAATGCATTTCTGATGAAATTGCTTTAAACAAGTTATCTGGCTGATTTTTGTACAAATTGTCCAACGCACCACTTTGGAAAACACTGTTTCATATTTTAACCTTACCAAAGAGGCTAGCTAGAGGAATACCCTCAAAGAATCAGAAGCCTATTTTATTAATGTTCCCTGTAATATTTCCTTATTTCTTGTGTACATTAAACTCATATTTCCATTGTTTGTAGTTTATCGTGTTTGCATTCTCTACTTTTTTTTTAGACGGAGTCTCACTCTGTTGCCTAGGCTGGAGTGCAGTGGCACGATCTCAGCTCACTGCAACCTCCGCCTCCCCAGGTTCAAGCAATGCTCCTGCCTCAGCCTCCCGAGTAGCTGGGACTACAGGTGCCCACCAACAAGCCCAGCTAATTTTTTGTATTTTTACTAGAGACGGGGTTTCGCTGTGTTAGCCGGGATGGTCTCGATCTCCTGAACTTGTGATCTGCCCGCCTCGGCCTCCCAAAGTGCTGGGATTACAGGTGTGAGCCATTGTGCTCGGTCCACAATCTCTACTTTCTTGATCACATCAGTCTACATTTTGATCACCTCATTTGTCTTCTCATTTTACTTGTAGGAAAAGAGTCAAATCTTGTGAGACTGAGACCTGGTGCTAGTAATTGGGTATGAAAGACAGAATATTCATCCTTTCTTAGAATCTGTACCCTAAAAGTAGTTTTTTTGTTCCTAGAAGAGGCAAAAAAGCTTTTGCCATATTCATAAAACCCTCAAATTCCAAAACACCATTCAATAATCCCCCAAAGTACTATAATCAATGTTCAACTAACACATAAACAATCTCTTTTTCCCTAGCTGATGATTCTACTGCAGTATTTTCTCAAAAACTGTACCTTGGTGGGCCATTCTGTTCTGCCTCTTTAGCTATTGAGCCAAAACATGATTTTGTTAGCACCAAAATGTATCTTCATATCATAATCATTGCTGCAATAAATGGGATAACAGAGTATCTATCAAGTAAGGCTTTGCTGGATCCAAGAGAGCTGTATATTACATAAGAAACAAACATGAATTCAAGACTGAAAAGTATAAAACATCCTTTCATAGCAGGAACAGGACAACTTGTAAACTAGAAATTTAGGTGTTTCTACAATTAGAAGTCTAACAGCAGTTCTTATCATTATTCCAGCTTCTTAAATAGAAGTATTTCTTCTGTTTAGGTTGATTCAAAAGATAACCTTTTGAAAAGATAACCTTTCCCTCAAGGGAATATGCAAATCCCATGATTTCTGTGGAATAGTATAAAACTTGTATTTTGTTTTTGCTCCTGTTTTAGGGGACATCTTTAAAGATATTCTGTTTTAAGAGTATATATTGTGCTAACTTAGTAGCGTTCTGGATGAATGGGTTGGTAAAATATTGGGGACCAAAAATTAAGAACTGTAAATTCAGAAAAGTTTAAGAAACTCAATTATTTATTTTTACTTTACCTGCCTGTATTTGCAGTTACCTACCATTAAATACTTCAGAATAAATTCAATGTTTCTATGTAAAATTATTTGAAGTTATTAGAATATATTCTATTAGAAAAAGCAACATGGTAAGTTACATGAATGAGTAAATTCATATGCAGACATTCTTCTTTCCAGTTGGTTTCTTTTTTAGTTCAAGAAAAATGTGGAGTACAAGGTAATTTTTTTTTTTTTGTCACAGAGTCTTGCTCTGTCACCCAGGCTAGAGTGCAGTGGCATGATCTCGGCTCACCGCAAGCTCCATCTCCCAGGTTCACGCCATTCTCCTGCCTCACCCTCCCGAGTAGCTGGGACCACAGGTGCCTGTCATTACGCCCAGCTGATTTTGTTTTGTATTTTTAGTAGAGATGGGGTTTCACTGTGTTAGCCAGGGTGGTCTCGATCTCCTGACCTCGTGATTTGCCCGCCTTGGCCTCTCAAAGTGCTGGGATTACAGGTGTGAGCCACCGCACCTGGCCAGTACAAGATCATTTTTAAACAACTGCCGGAGTCTCCACTTACATTCTGTTTATTCGCTCAATCAATCATCCAATTATGCAGAAAATACTGGAGGATCTACTTTAAAATGCACTGGAATCACCCAAAATAGATGGTATAAATGCAGATTAATCAAGCCTCAGTCTCTGAGTAAAAGAGTATAGAAATCCCAGTTTTTCCAGGTTTTTCAGATACTCCTGATTTAAGTGGACCTTAAACTACACTTTGGAAAATACTGCCTTCCTGTATCATATCCACCCTAACATCAAATGTGACTGAAAGTATCAAAATGCTTAAAATTCCTGCAGGGCTGGGTGCAGCAAGCAAGCAACATGCAAAATATAAGAAGGCATCAACTCTCAGACTCAGTTCAACTTTTTTTTTTTTCTTGAAACAGAATCCCACTCTGTCAGCCCGGCTGGAGTGCAATGGCGCAGTCTTGGCTCGCTGCAACATCTACCTCCCAGGTTCAAGTGATTCTCCTGCCTCAGCCTCCCAAGTAGCTAGGATTACAGGCTTGCACCACCACACCTGGCTAACTTTTTGTGTTTTTAGTAGAGACGGGCTTTCCCTATGTTGGCCAGACTGGTCTCAAACTACTGGCCTCAAGTGATTTACCCACCTTGGCCTCCCAAATTTCTGGGATTACAGGCATGAGCCACCGAGCGCAGTCCTGACTCTGCTCTTGGGATACCTGAGAGTACTGTGTTATATGAATATCTGATCTACCTATGGATTCAGCCGACCTAAAGTTGTTGAATTCTTAAGCCACCACCCCCTTCTCACCAGGTAAGCCCTGTATTCATCATAACTTTGACTAGATTCTCAGACTTAGTGAATACCAGTTCAGATGCTTGTCACATAGATGGACATTATGTAACTTTCTCTTCCCAGCACAAGATTTACTTTCAGATCATCAGTGCGTTAATTGAACAAATGGCAAAGATCTTGCCAAAATCTGAGAAGATGTCCTCTGACGTTGTAAGTAGTTTTAAGTGTAATTTCATTTAAATAGCCCAAAGCTTTTAGCCAAATACAACTTGGCAGTTCAATAATATTTGGGGAGGGTAAAAGCAGGTACTGTGTCAAAGAGCCAAGTGAATAAATTTTTTATGGAAGTCAGTCATATTAATTGTATTGTTCAAAGATGATACTGTTCACATCGGTATTTATATATCTGTTAAAATGTTTGGGTTTATCTAATCCATGATTTCCTTTATCATATGTTAATACTGGATGTATTTAAAACTTCAAAGTGAGGTGATCTGCAAGCAGAGGGGCCCTGAATGTGTCTAAATGGAATAGTGACATATTTCTCCTATAGATGACATTGCAGTTATTAACTGCTCATTATTCTAGAACATGTGTGAACCCTCACCCTTCAGGGGTGCTTGTTTTTCACCCTTGAAGTTCTTCAGTTCAAAAAAGGTTAAAGATCTATACCTTAACAAAAGAGAGACAGCCTCAGTTTGCTCTATAATATGTACTAAACTTAAATATTCTTGTTATAATATGCTAGTTGGAAAGAGATTTATCCTCTTAAATAATGCCAAGACTTTCCTTAACCCCATTTCTGTGGATATTGTTTGCTTTTCAGCATTTCAATTCTTGCTAATCTTATTTCAGCATCCCACATAATTAGAACTGTACAGATTCTAACTATTCAATCATCTCTTCCCTCCCCTATAAAATGTGCTAACAGGATGTGAAATGGAGGTGGGCTCCCTGTGTTCTTGCTTTGAGTCTAAGGGAAGTTAAATATAAAAACTCAGGAAGTGTCTGAACACACCTCCATTTCAATGTGATCCTCAGTTAGTACATTTCCCTTGAGGTAGGCAGAAAAATGTGAATACATTTTTTTTAACCTATCCAATTTCAACTTAAAACTTCATCTTAAAATTTTCCTTTTGCCCCATCAACTGGGTGCCCTAGATTATACAGGAATGGAGAAAGAAAAAAGAACTTGGCTTAACCATTTGCTATTTTGTGATATTTTATATCATATGCTGCTAGTCTCACCAGGAGTGAATATATGTTAATTCACATATCCAAATCTATGAAAAGGAACATGAAATGGGATCAAGTAAGTTATATTGAATACATATACAGATACATTAAGCTTTAGAAAACATCTGGACTTTGGAATACTGGTCCACACTTGTCTTTCAGAGAGTCTCTTGTAGGTATGAAGAATAAAAAATTTATTGTGATTTTTATTATGTTCAAATTCAGCAAAGGAGATGAATTCATTTCCCTTGAACTGTGGTTTGAATGCGTGTTTGAATTTATACATGGAAACTTAACCCCCAAGGTGATAATATTAAAAGGTGGGGTCCATAGGAGGTGATTAGGCTATGAGGGTGGATGGGATTAGTGCCCTTAAAAAAGGACGGGAGGGAGCAAGTTTGTCCCTTTTGCCCTTGTGCCATGTGAGGACACATAGAAGGCACCATCAAAGGCCCTCGCTGGCCAGTGAATTTGCTGGTGCCACAGTCTTAGACTTCTCAGCCTCTAGAACTGTGAAAAATAAATTTCTACCATTTATAAATTACCCAGTCTATGGTATTTTATTGTAACAGCAGGAATCAACTAAGACACCTAATCCAACTTAATATGGTTTGGCTGTGTCCCCACTCAAATCTCATCTTGAATTGTAGTTCCCATAATCCCCACGTGTTGTGGGAGGGACCAGGTGGAAATAAATAGATTGTGGGGGCAGTTTCCCCCATCTTGTTCTTGTGAAGTGAGTTAGTTTTCGCGAGATCTGATGGTTCTATAAGGAGCTTTTCCTCCTTTTGCTAGGCGCTTCTTGCCGCTGCCATGAGAAGAAGGATGTTTGCTTCCCCCTCTGCCATGATTGTTAAGTTTCCTGAGGCCTCCTGAGCCATGCTGAACTGTGAGTCAATTAAACCATTTTCCTTTATAAATTACCCAGTCCTGGGTATATCTTTATTAGCAGTGTGAGAAGGGACTAATAAGGAACCTGCAGTGGACCTTGCCTTACTAATTTCAATCTCCTGTACATATGGCCTAGATTACGTACAAAATCTAAGTTTACTTCAATGCTGGGTTAACCGTATGGCCACGGTGGCTGGCACGAAATTAACCAACCTTAAATATTAGTATGGCTTAGTCAAACTTTCATTTATTACTAAAGATTTATCACTGCTGTTTCCTTTGGGAATGTGGTTGAGTAAAGTGTTTTGAGCTGCGTTCGTGCATACTTGATACCTGCTCCTTTTGATCTGGGTGATCTATTAGAAGGAGGAGGAGAAAAATTAAACCTAAAATATCTTTAGTTGTGTGGTAGAGGTGGAAGGTAATTTTGTTGGGGTCTGATGAAACCCCTGAAGGATTATTAGATCCTGAAACCTGAAAATTAGGCTCTAAAATGTAGCACAATTGGAGATATTTGTGAACTTGACCCTTTCTAGAATTTTTGAAAATTCAGGTAAGTAGAGACACTTGAGTTTCTGGACTCAAGATTATATATGGTGTCTTCTCTGTTTTTACTCACGTTTTACATTGAGGCATTGATAATTAACACACTTACCAGTTCCTTTTAGCACAGACCTTGTTTAATAGAGTATAGACAAAAGTCTCAACGTTTGAGAACTGCCAGGAAAGGAGAGGAAACCATTTGCTTTCCGAGAGCACACTGGATAACTTCAGCACAAGGCAGAATAAGGGTATTTAGCTCAGAGGGAGGAGAAAGAGAGTGGCCTCGAATATTGCTTATTTTAGTTTTCCTTAAGGCTGCCCACACAAAGTTTTCAGTCAGTGACTCATCAAATTTCATTCTGCTAGATGTGATGCTGAATTTTTTCTATCTTAAGATGTTCAACAAGAATTTTCTGCTAGTAAATATATTTCCGGTGAGCAGAGGTTATTAAGAATACTTGTACCATGGACCCCTTTGGCACCTGGTGAAACCTGTAGACCCCCCCTTTCTAAATAAAGTTAGTGAGGGCATAAAATACCTAAGATTAAAGAAAACCTATATTTGGCCGGGCGCGGTGGCTCACGCCTGTAATCCCAGCACTTTGGGAGGCCGAGGCGGGCGGATCACGAGGTCAGGAGATCGAGACCATCCTGGCTAACACGGTGAAACCCCGTCTCTACTAAAAATACAAAAAAATTAGCCGGGCGTAGTGGCGGGCGCCTGTAGTCCCAGCTACTCGGGAGGCTGAGGCAGGAGAATGGCGTGAACCCGGGAGGCGGAGCTTGCAGTGAGCCGAGATCGCGCCACTGCACTCCAGCCTGGGCGACAGAGCGAGACTCCGTCTCAAAAAAAAAAAAAAAAAAAGAAAACCTATATTTAAAAACATGTCACAAATATAATAAAACAAACTTGTGACATGGTAATATATGCACTTCTTCAACACATTTAGTAATCGAATCTATGATTACCTAATTACTATAATTTTGACATAGTGGTGGACATAAATAATATATTGAACTATTTGCACAACTTTAATGTATTAATAATATGAAAATTGTGATTTCTTCTGATGAGAACCACAGATTTTAACAGTACTATGGTCTGTTGCCTACATTCATAGCTTAAGGAATGGCTAAACCAGTTACAGGTTAGTGGGAAAAGGGGATCTAATTGTATTCATTCAAGTTCCTGGACTTCCTGAATTCCATACATGGTCTTCTGGGTGGCTTGAGCTTCCCACGTTAAAAATTCTTGCTATATAGATTAAGATGAGTAAGATACAACCAGGTTTCTTTTTTACATGTCAAATAATAGTTTTGATATATTTCTCATGACATAAGCTTTATAAAAACTGAAAAAAAAACTATCTTGAAGATGATATTTGTGTATGAAAATTAGGTCCAGATTTTATTCTTTTTTCCTTTTAATGTTTTTTTCTTTATGAAACTAAGTGTTCTGTTGGCATGTTTACCACTGTTAAATGCATTTTAATAAAATCCCTGTGGTATTGTGTGCTTTGACATTGCTGGAAAAGGGTGTCTATTTATGAAAATAATGTTAGACTATAAAGTTAAATAAAGGGAGATGAGATATCAGAAATAACACATTTCCATGGTAATTTTTTTTAAACAGTAGATTGATCAATAGCATTTTGCGGTAAGATGTTGTTAATCTGTCTCAGTCAGGACCCAAACAGCAAGCCATTTCAAATTGATCACAGAACAAAAATTGGCATTACGTTCCCTTGGCTTCATTGTGAGGGTGCTCTACAGCTCATTTCACGACCAGTGAAAATACTGATGCTAATGACAACTATAAGAATGCTGTGCCAAATATCACAGAGAAAGAAAGCAAAGGTTGGGGGTGGAGATTATAATTGTTTCTAGCACTGTGTTTAAAACTCTTGGAACTTGTGTTTTCATAGTGAAAGAAAACAATTTTTAATAGCAAGCTAGGTGTGTCATCCACAACATCCCAGTCATGTTTAATTTGTATTTTCTGAAAAGTTGCATTTCTGAGAAACACAATGAGAAGAAACCAATGGAAGTTATAATTCCAGACCAAAAGTTCTGACTCAAATGTTGACAAAGATCAGGTAGGAAACATAGAGACTTATAGTAGGCCAGGTATAAAATAGAACAAAGTTTGTGAGATGACCAGGGTCACAAGGATTGGATTGTAAGTGAAAATAATAGCTGTGTAGCCAATAAGAATTTTGCAGTCTGCCCGTTAGAAAGACTGTTATGCCTGGACTTGTGACCTTCCTGATCTTACATGGATACAAACCAATGTCCTTGTTTCTTTGCTTTCTCAGCTAATAGATTTTTAGAAAAGGGTTTCTGGAGCCAAACACAATGTCCATGGTTTGACAGAGTGAATGGAGACAGGAAAACATACTTTCTCAAAAGAGCAAAATTGCTTTTCCATCCTCATTCTTCTGGTCTGTCCACTGTACTGCAGCAATATTAACCAACTTGATCTTTCCTTTTGTCACATTCTTACCACCATATTTCTACCTTAATTTATTTTTTAGCATCAGACTTTCATGCAATTATTTAATTTTTGGTTTCCTACCACAGATTATGTATGACTTATCCAGTGTTAGTAGTAATACTACAAAATAAACAAACAAAGTGACAATTTGTTTAGCCTTGAGTCTATAGGGTTTTGCTGACTGGAACTAGGATTGACTGACAAGGCTATGCTTAGGTGGTCTCACCTGGGCTTGCATATGCCTCTGCAGCCAACAAGAATTAGCTTGAAGGTGCTGCTCATCTTGGCTAGCTCACTCACATGTTTGGTTGAGGGTCAGCTACCGGTTGCCTAACCTAGGATGTCCTCATCTGGGCTGACTTGAGTAGTTTGGCTCTGTTCCTCATATCCCTTTCTTCAACAGGCAAGCCTGAGTATGTTCTTCCCATTCTATAGATGCTCCTTGACTTCTGATGGGGTTACATTCCAATAAGCCTATTGTAAGTGAAAAATATTTTAAGTAAAAAATGCATTTGATACCTTGCTAAAGCCATCATAAAGTTTAAAAATTGTGAAGTTGAACCATTGTAACTCAGGGACCATCCATTACCAGCAGAGGGCAAGAGACAAGCCCGAGCACATTTTCAATCTTATTCATGAGTCACTTTGCTAGTATTTCATTGACTAAAATTAGTCATAAAACCAGCCAGGTTTGTGAGTAAAAGAATAAAGGCAAATCAAAATCACAAAGAGATATCACTTTATACCCATTAGGCTGGAAAAATAAAACAAAATGAAATGAAACCTGAAATTGACAAGTGTTGGAAAGGATACAGAGAATTTGGAACACTTCTGCATTGTTGGTGAGAATATAAAATGATGGAGCTGCTATAGAAAATGGTATGGTGATTCTTCAAAAATTTAAACATAGAATTACAATGTAATCCAGCAATTCCCTCTCTAAGTACATACCCAAAGAATTAAAAGAATTTAATTTTCAAATAATCAAAAGCATGGATTCAAACAGATATTTGCACACCCTTGTTCAGTAGCAGCATTATTTACAAAAGCCAGAAGCAGAAGTAACCCAGGTGTCCATCAACAGATGAATGGATAAACAAGATGTGGTACATATATGCAATGAACTATTATCCAGTCTTAAGGGAATTTTGATGCATGCTAGAGCATGGTTGAAAGTTGAAAACATTACGTTGTGAATTATGCCAGTCACAAAAGGACAAATATTGTATGATTCCACTTCTACTAGGTCCCTAGAGTAGTCAAATTCATAGCAAGTAGAGTGGTGGTTGCCAGGAACTGGAGTTGTTCCAGGGACTGGAATTGGGAATTAATATTTAATAGACACAGGGTTTCAGTTGGGGAAGACAAAAAAGTTCTGAAGATGGATGGTGGTAATAGTTGCATAATGTGAATGTACTTCATGCCACAGAATTGTACACTCAAAAATGGCTAAAATAGCTACAAGAAAAAAGTACACAAAAAGAGAAAGGGTATAGATTCAATCTCATCAGTAATTATTAGTGAAAATCATGTAGCAAAATGGGTGCACAGAAACCAAAGAATTAGAGACATTCATGCAGTATCTACCACAATGGGAATCGTTAAAGGTGGTAGTACTTTTAGCAAGGCACTAGAATGATTACAGTATTAAATTTTCTTCTAAGTGGCCTGATATTTATAACAGATTTAAAAAATTATAGAGAGGTATTATACCAGTCTTAGCACTGAACTCTAAATGCAATAGGGGTTTAAGTTTTGATCCAGAGTTCAAGAATACCAGTGACAGAACACCCAACCCTCTTAGCACACAAAATACTAGTTACAGTGACACATTTGCGTTACTGGGAATAATTCAAACCCTGTTTAGGTTTTCTTATGATGAATATCACATGATGCATATAACAACTAAGTAATTAAAATCATTTGTATCAAATGGATACCATTGAGATATCTGGGGCTGGGCACATTGGCTCGCTTCTGTAATTCCAGCACTTTGGGAGGCTGAAGTGGGAGGATTACTTGAGGCCAGAAGTTCAACACCAGCCTGGGCAACATAGTGAGACCCCATCTCTACAAAAGTTTTCTTAAAAATTTTGCCACATGCAGTGCTACACATCTCTAGTCCCAGCCAGTTGGGAGGCTGAGGCAGGAGGGTTTTTCAAGCCCGGGAGTTGAGGCTGTAGTGAACTATGATTGTACCATTGCACTCCAGATGCAGTGACAGAGCATGAGGCCCTGTTTCTTTTTTAAAAAATGAAAAAAAAGGATAATCTGAGAAAATAAGGTACTGAACACCTTATTTAATAAATTCACTTTTCAGCAGTTCTATAAAGATATATAAATCTGGAGTTGCTGCATTATTTGTTATGTCATTGTGATTTCAGTTTAGCGTGTTTAAGTGTTAATTAAAATTCTGGACTGTTTTTCATAATTTCCTCCTTAATCTAGGCTATTATCAATTTCCTGAGTGGTGAAAATGCTTGTGGTTCTCATAGCCAAGGCACCTGCCCAGTATTTACACAAGAGCATCATTAGATATTTATAATTTATTAAAATGCCCATGTATGTTCTTTTTGAATAATTGGCTAATAACTTCATTCATAAGGGACATTTGTGTGAGTTCTAATTTAATTTATAGAAAGCCTAACAACATTTAATGTATTTTTAAAGCTATCACAGTACAAATAGTACAGATATTTGTTTTAGTAGTAGTAATCCTTTTTGGTGTTTGTTTTTATTATTAATTTTGAAGGTATAAAAATCATGAAAGTAAAGTAAGATGGAAATCATTCTTAATAATGTGAGCTATTGAGTTGAATATTCAAATATATTGAATTGTTTTTAAATTTATTATTGTAGCTTTTTGAGGCAGATAAAATGAATATTATGCCTATGTCATAGATGACAAAAGGAAACCTAAATATTGTGACTTTTTTAAGGTCACCAAATTGGTTAGTGTTAGGAGAATAAGATACCAGAACCACCACCTCCTAGTGCTGTGGTGTGTGATACAGCAGCCACTAGTCATGAAGGTATTGAGCATTCAAAATGTGAATACTCTGAGATGAGATACACTGTGAGAGTCAGAAAAACACTGGATTCCAAACGTAATACTAGAAAAGAAATGGAAAATATCTCAATAATTATATATTGATTGAATGTTGAAATAAGATTTTAGATTTATGGGGTTAAATAAAATATTAAATTAATTTAACTTTTTAGTTTTCTTATGTGACCACTAGAAAACTTAAAATTTTACAGATGGCTCTTATTATATTTGATGGGCAATACTATCCTGGAATATTTTTTTCTACTGCTTTGGGCTGAATATCTAAGCGTGGGGTCTGAATTATGCATATAAGTTCCTATGGTGTGATTCATACATAGTTTATAAATATCTAAATGTTTAGTAGTACTTAGAATTTTTTAAAAATCTTACATAGTAAGAACAAACAATTGTTTGTTGACTTTTTCTCATATGCCTTGCCCAAAGCAATAGAGAAAAATAAAGTATATTTAAGACTTTCTATGTGAAATGTGAGAGCCACACATAAAATTTTAAGTTTTCTAGGAGGCATATTAGAAGAGGAAAAAATAGTGAAATTAATTTAGCCATGCATTTTATTCAATTTAGTATATCTAAAGCAACCAAGGTAGTGATATTTTACACAAATCTGTTTATATATCTCTTTCTACTTCTTATAACCTACCCTTGCCTTTCTATTGTTCTTAAGGTAATTAAAATTCTTAGCCTGGTAAAATTCTTATCATGATCTCTCCAGCCTTACCTGCTCACTTTTTCCTCAATCTTTCTCTCTACTCCCTTCCTACTACCAGGGCTATTATACTGTCTCTCATAGCTTTCAACACTCTAGCATCCTCTCACTCACCCCAGGGCTCTGTGCAGTGCTTCCTCCTTGTGGAACACTGTTTTCTTTTTGCCTAGTTAACTCCTGTTAATTCTCCAGATTTCAGCACGAGATTATTTTCAGCATGAGATTATCATTTCCTTTTGGACTATTTCTTTGATTCTCAAATGTAGGTCAGTTATTATTTACAATGTGTACCCACAGTAGCCCTAAAAATGAATTTATCTAATTTACTTTGGATAAATTATTCACCCTTAACTGAAAAGTTCACTAACATGATTATTTGATTAATATCTGTATGCCCTAGTAGACTCTTTAAGAGTCATGACACTGGTCTTTCTTTTTTTTTTTTCAGTGCTATATTCCCAGTACACAGTACCTGATATATATTAGGCACTCAATAAATATTAGTTTAATGATATATAAGTGAATAAACTCATAGATGGGCATTCTTTGAGGTATGTATAATGCTGTATTTAAAATAAGATTCAAGATGTTTAAATAAGGTCCTCTGACATTTTTTATAGCTATTTTATCTTTCCTATTTGTTTTGCAAAGTAATTCAGTTTTCAAATAAAAATCAGATTCACTATTATAGTATATCTTTGAATACTTGAGCATTGTCAATTGTATTGCTCAACATATACCAGCATTATGTACTTGGTTCACACAACAACCCTAAGAAAGAAAAATGGATATTTCTACTTTTGGGGCAAAAAGTTAAGTTATGAAAAGTGAAGTGGCATTGCTTCAACTTAAAGGGACAATAATAAATACAAAACAGATTTGGTGTGTGTGTGTCTGTGTGTGTGTGTGTCTGTGTGTATGTGTCTGTTTGTGTGTTTGGGAGCAGGGAGAGAGAGAGAGAGAGAGACAGAGAAAGAGACACAAAGTCCAAGGCTAGATTTTCAAATACTGACGAAAAATGAGAACTGATATCTAAATGATGACTTAATGGCCCAGAGATCTCTTAAGAAATACTAAATTATGTCTGGTAAGTAATTCTGAAGAATGTAGACCATTACTTTTTTTTTTTTTTTTTTTTTTTTAAGACAGAGTCTCACTCTGTCTTCTAGGCTGGAGTGCTGTGGTGCAATCTCAACATACTGCAACCTCTGCCTCCTGAGTTCAAGTGATTCTCCTGCCTCAGCCTCCCCAGTAGCTGGGACTATAGGCATGCACCTCCACATTGGGCTAATTTTTGTATTTTTAGTAGAGATGGGGTTTCACCATGTTGCCCAGGCTGGACTCCTGGACTCCAGCAATATGGCCCGCCTCGCCTCCCAAAGTGCTGGGAACAAAGGTGTGAGCCACTGTGCCCAGCCTGACCATTACATTTTAAAATGATTTTCATCAGAAAGTTAAAATATTTTATATTATTAAGGGCAAATTTTCTAGTTGCTAATAAAATATGGTTAAGTATCCAATGGTTTTCAAAGTATGAGGCCTAAACCAGGAGCATATGCATCATCCAGAAACTTGTTAAAAATGCACATTCTTGACCACCAACCCAAATCTACAGAATTAGAAATTCTCGGAGTGTGTGCAGCTCAGGAGTTTGTGTTTTAACAAGCATCAGCATTTTAGTATTTGAGAACAAGTGGAGAAGACTATTAGATTTAAGGAGCATTCTCATTAATAGCCTCAAAAATATTTAGTGAATGGCAAAACATTTTGGGAGCCTTCCTATGACAAAGGGAAAATGATACATCTTAGAAGACTTCTGTTCTTTAAAAAATAAAACATAACTGGTTTTTATATTTCAAATGTCCTCTATAAGATTTCTATTTCAGTCATCAAATTCTCAAATATTTTCACAAGAATCAAGGTTCCTGAATCAAGAAAACATTTGGAACATTTATAATTAGTTATGTATTGGAAAATTGGCTCTGGAATAAAAAACTGCCCAGATTTGTTGCATTTACTGATATCTCTGCTGTATGTTCTTCCCAAATGGCCAATTTCAAGCTACCAGTAGAGTCATTACGACTTGACTGAGTGTAGGATTGAAGAAATGCTCAGAATAGGTGTTCTATTTTTTTCTTTTTTTTGGAGGGAGGAAGGAGACTCTTTAGAAAGGTCTATTTTGCCCAGTCCACTCACATTATAGAAAATTTCCTTTTACTGTGTATTCTTTTTTTTCCCTTGTTAAAAATAAGTCATACAGATTCTTTGCGCAAAGTATTCTTATACATGAATAATATTTTGGTATTTAAATGGGCTGCCGGTCACTTGATTACATTATCTTTTACCATAAAATATGTGCTGATTTCTCAGCAATTTATGCATGCAGAAGAAGGGTCCTTTACAATGGGAAGTATTTGGAACATGTATAATTCAAGTTGGATTTTGGATAAATATTCCAACCGTATATTTTACTTAGGGATTCCTTTGGTAAGTAGAGTCAATCCTCAATAATTTCATACTATAACAAAAACCAAGAGTTTTGGGTAACTAAGAATCAACATTTCAATTATTCAAAATATTATTGAATGTAATTATGATTGAAAATGGTGCCAATGAGTAAAAACAAACAGTGGAAGTGAGGGCATTTTTTTTTTCTCAGCTGGTAAAAAAGCAAATCTGGTGTGTTATAATTGGTGATGAGGACTTTTTAAACAAATCTGGCTAGTTATTATTTCTAGTCTGGTTGCTGTCCTGGTTTTCAAAATATTTCAGTGCTTTCTTAGGTCTTTTTGTTTTGTTTTTTGCTTTTAAAATATGCAAGAGTATGTCATTTTAAAAGAAATAAAAGCACTACTATTAATGTTCGTAAAAACCTGTTTTGAATATGCATCTCCTATGCTCAGAAAGGTTTGATATCTCCCACTGCTCACAATATAAAACCCAACAATTTACCTTGGTACTCAATCCCTTTGACTATTTGGCCCTTCCTACCTTTCCATCGTAATTTTCTAATTCTGTTCTACAAACACACATGCAGTTTGCCATCTCTGTGAATACTTACAATATGCTTTTTTTACCCATGATATTGCTCCTTTTTCTCATAATTGGAAGTACTATGCATACTTTTTGTCCTATGCATCTCATGTTCTCTCCAAAATTTTTTCATCCTTCCTACTACTGTAGGTGAGCAGTGCAATACGATGATTAGAGTCACTGCCATGATTTGAATATTTAGCCGCTATACTATCTTTTGTACATTACTAAGTTACTCTCAGTGTGTCTTTATCTGTAAATGGGGTTTAATAATAACTGTTTTGTGAGTTGCGTAGTGAAGATTACATGAGAAAAGATCTGTAAAGCATTTACTAACGTGCTTGGCAAGAATTATTAACCATGGCTTTATTTTTTTTCTCATTTGAACTCAAAAGCTATATCCAAACACTTGTTTGGACCTTCCATGTTTTCTTGTAGTATACTTTTGTATACTTATTATGGTGTTCTGAATATAACTGTAGAGTGTTGGCCACAAGGACATACTTTCGGCCTTCTCTATAACATCTAACATGTGCCTTTTCTTGACATAGTACATGCCAGAATAACAATGAATGAATGAATAAAATGGAAGAGTATAAGAAACATTGATTGGATCATTGGGAAAACAAGGCTGTCTCAACTCTGCTAACATCATGTTGTGTCATATTAGCTATTAATAACTGACTTCTTTGAAAGTCAGTGTCTTTATTCAAAATAGAGATGGAACTAGTAGGTAATCTCTATGGCCTTTTTCAACTGCAGGGTGTAACTATCTGAGATATGGCTTAACTGCATGAATGTAAATACAGACTGTTTGTTATAATTACTTATTAATTCTCTATTGAAAACTTTTTGTTTTATTGCACTTTATTTTTAAGCCCTCAGATGCTCAGAACTGACATGATAATACTCCTCAATTCATGATACACCTCCCGATCTGTGGGAGACTTTTTTCTTTTTAAAAGTTGTGTTATGTGTGTTTCCCTTCAACTTATATAATCTGTGACTTAGCGATTTAAATGTGACAGTAAAATTATAAAAGCAATAGAAGAAAACACACAAAACAAAATAACAAGAACAAAAACAAATTTTCCTGGTCACTTCCCTCATTGTACATATCTCAACACCCAACAATTAAGATCTGTCATTTCTGCATCAAAGGTATCTCTTTGCCTTTTCATTTCTAGCCATCTCCTCCACTAATACACCACTGGAGGACACCATTATCTCTCTTTCAGATTATTGTAGTAACCTTCTCTTAATTGACTTTTCTCTCATTCATTCTTCAGTTTTGAATTAGGCTCACCCCTTATAAGCTTATTTATTTATTTAGTGTAAGCTAATTTGAAATGTACTTTGCTTCTTGCAATCAGAATAGTCTTATGATAAAAAACTTTTAAAAAGTAACATCTACATTAAAAATTATTAATTTTCGTGGGTACGTATTAGGTGTATATATTTATGGGTTACAGAAGATATTTTGATATAAGCATGCAGTGTTTTATAATTACATCAGGTAAATGGGGTATCCATCACTTCCTGCACTTATCCTTTGTTACAAACAACCCAGTAATACTCTTTCAGTTATTTTTAAATGTACAGTTAAATTATTTTTGACCATAGTTTTTTAAGAGCAGAAATAAATTTTATAGTGGGTCTATCTCATACAGTCCACTTACTTTGTAGACAATTTCTCTTTTGCTCAGATTTATTTGAGTTGCTAAAAAAAATAGCCATGTAAATTCTAGGTTTATTCACACTAAGTGCTTTCCTTTTTCTCTTTTAATGAAAACCTGTGTTTTTTTCTTTCCTTCTCAGCAAGAACCCGTATTATTCAATTTGCAACTTTCTAGAGAGTCAGCCCAGTTCATATAATTCTTTATAGTTTTAGCAGACTATGGGTCAAAAATAGGAATGTATCTACCATACGTTTGATGGTAAATTAGCCAGTGGTTTCATTTCCTCATTATATTTATAAGCCAGGTCATTAAGTAAACAAATTAATTGAATTATCAAATGCAACATAATTTCTTCTGACCCAAGCAATTTGGGGATGATTCTACCATTAAAGGTTATCATTAGGAAGAAAATTAAGAGCGTAGGCAAATAGTGGTTGAACTGCTCTCAAAATGTGGACTATAAGCACATTTGGAAATGTTTCAGAAATTTAATTTCCATCTTCCACTTCGATGTGTATGGCAGCAAATATTAATCCACCCTATACTATTCCAAAGCTTATCAAGAACAAAACAATAGCACATGCAGTATTTCTATAGAATTGTCATCTACTGGGAAATATAGAGAATAGTATTTTAGATGTCTACAGCTTCTGGAAGATCACATTTTTGCCTTATATAGTGTACATTGCCTTTAGTTAGTTTCTTTGGTCAAATAAAAGATTCTTTGATTTTCCTTTATGAAAGTTGCAATGAAATTTTCCAAGTCCAAAACTGAAATTTTAAAAAGTTATTTGTAATTCTCTAATTGTTAGGTTTTTTTTTTCTAATAAAATAAAGCCACCTCAGGGTCCAATATTCTTTCCTTGTCAGTTTATATCAGTGGTTATTTAGTATAAGTCAATGATTTAGTTCAGATCATTTATTTTGCCTCTGTAACATGGTGCTTAATTTCTAATTTAACTTTTCCATATATGTTTATATTTCGTTTTCAATTAGTATACTCTTTAGGTCAAGTGTCGTGTTAGACAACACCTGTAGGAAAACATGCTGGACCTATTGTCAGAAATCCCAGGTTGAAGTCCCAATTCTGACACTATCTTTCTGAACTTGGAAAAATAACAATCTCTCCTGAATCTGTTTTCCAGTGAGTTACCTTACTTTTTATCAAGTGTGTTAAGTGAAATGTAGTGACATCCCTTTGCAAGCTCTAGAGAGCCCTAGAGATATAAGGTGCTTTTTTTGTTCTTTTGTGGACCCCTCAACACAGTGCAGGAAAAGAGCTCAAATATTGATAAATAAGCATAGACTTTCTCAAGGCTTAATGAAAATAAAAAAGAATTGATTATGTTCCAAAGGATTCACTGAGTTTCTAAAGTACTCATAGATGTTATTTAAATTAATTAATTTCCCCATCAAATGGTCATAGAGCATGAACAAGAACAGCATGTGATAAGGTTTCACAGTATTAAATTTTCTTCATAGAATTTCAACATCTGTTTCCAAATATTGTCTAGGTTGTTGTAAAGAATTCATTTAACTATCAGATAACTTTTACTCTTTTCCTTTCATATAGAAATGAGATCTTAATGTGACATATATTTGTGTTTGAAACTGAGCCATAATCCAAATAAACAATGTCCTCGATTTTATCCAAATAAAAATTTTTTTTTATCTCTTCTGGGGAAGATAATTAATTACAAGAAAATAATTTTTCACAGGACATTTACTTAAAAGCATGTGTCATACCCACTTAAATGCTTATTTATCTTCATGATATTAGAAATTCAGCCTAAGTAATTTCCATCCAGAGCTCAAAAGGACATTTGCTAACTGAATTTAGAGCTCTATAATAAGAAAGTAGCTTAGTTATAACTAAATAAAAAAGGATGAATTACTTTTCTTTGTTAGTGAATAATAATCATGTTAACCATTGAAAATAAATGAAAATTATTTCGACTCCAGAAACTGGCTCATCTTTGAAGCTAAGTAGGGAGCATAGAAATAGTACAGTCAGCAATTTTGGCCTCATGTACCTTTCCCACAATGCATTTACAGTCTGTCCATCTCATTTGTCAGCTGTTGTTGCAACTATGCTTTCAGATTTTATATAAACCAAAACATATAATCTAAGAAACAAATGTGAAAAGAATTCATCACATTACTTTTATGTAGAATCAAATGTATTTTTAAAAAATCACAGGAGAAATATAGCATATGCTTTCTTAATGCAAAGATGAGATATATTACCTTAAGCAGATTTTCAAATCATATAAAATTTCTTATTAATGGCATATTATGGAAAATCTAAATAGTGCATGCAAAATATAACCTTTTCTAAATTATGACTCAGTATTGCTTGACAGATTAGTCAGTCACAACATGATTTGATTCTGTGCTGGTTTGTGCTCAATGTGATTTCAGAACCTGAAACTAAGTAATTAAAATCTACCTTATCTCACTAAGTCAGTAGGAGAGGCTCATTATGAATCCAGAAACAAACTTAATAGCCTGTGGTCATGCATCAGAAAGAAGAACGAAGATTGTGTTTATGCCTTCAGAAAGTTTAGTCATCTGTCTTTGAAGTTTCAGCACCATGAACAATAGTCTCCTTACTGGTGGCAGAAAGGGAGCGAAAAATTCAATTACGGCTGTAGTTATTTTTCGAAGAATACCATTTCTTTATTATCCAGCCAGTTTACTGAAGGATGAGCTAAAATGTAGGAAAACATATCAGATTATTAGGAAGATGATATTGTAGCTTCCTTTAGGATCTTACACTGATGGAGACTTGGTTTGTAGGCAACATTTTTACTTAGTAGCCAAAGGACCTGCCCTATATCTTATCCAACTCTTTTTCACTCTCCAGCAACTTCTACTAATTTTCTCTTTGTTAAAGTGTTTGTGGGCTGGGCACGGTGGCTCACACCTGTAATCCCAGCACTTAGGGAGGCCGAGGCGGGTGGATCACGAGGTCAGGAGTTCAAGACCAAACATGACCAAGATGGTGAAACCCCTGTCTCTACTAAAAACTACAAAAAAAAAAAAAAAAAAAAAAAAAAAAAAAAAGCTGGGCGCGGTGGCAGGTGCCTGTAATCCCAGCTACTTGGGAGGCTGAGGCAGGAGAATTGCTTGAACCTGGGCAGCAGAGGTTGCAGTGAGCCGAGATCACACCACTGCACTCCAGCCTGTGCAACAGAGTGAGACTCCGTATCAAAAAAATAATTAAAAAAAAAAGTTTGTATAATGTTTAGTAAAAGAAAAGTAAAAATAAAATAAAAAATCCACTTTACTGACAGCACTTGGGGGGGAAGACTTTTCATGTGGATGTATAAGATATTACTATAAATGAGTTTTCAGCCACATATTAATTTTACCTCTATTTCTCATGTGTACATAATTAACATTTTTAGTAAAACTATGTTTCTAAGGCCAATAACATTGTCAATTTTTTTTAAATTAATTTTTTTTTTTTTTTGAGACGGAGTCTCGCTCTGTCGCCCAGGCTGGAGTGCAGTGGCGCCATCTTGGCTCACTGCAAGCTCTGCCTCCTGGGTTCACACCATTCTCCTGCCTCAGCCTCCCGAGTAACTGGGACTACAGTCACCTGCCACCACGCCCGGCCAATTTTTTGTATTTTTGGTAGAGACGGGGTTTCACCATGTTAGCCAGGCTGGTCTTGAACTCCCGACCTCGTGATCCGCCTGCCTTGGCCTCCCAAAGTGCTGGGACTACAGGCGTGAGCCACCACGCCCGGCCCTGTTAGTGTCAATTCTTGTTCATTTGATCATTCACTTGTTCATTCCACAAATATTTATTTGGCATCACCTCTGTACTGAGTACTCTTCCATGTACAGGGGTTAAAAGAGGTAAATACAACTGATAAAATTCCTGCACTCATGTGTGAGTCTAGTGGGAAAGCAGGCATTGAAAAATCTTTATAAGACAAAAACTGTATTGTTGTGATACCTATGAAGAAGGAAGTATACAAGGTATCATTAGAGTACTTAGGGGCTGGGGACGAACACTTGATCAGATTTGATATTGACCAGGAAACACTTAAAAGAAGAGATGCCTTGATTTCTTGCCTGGATGCCAATGATAACCTCAGAAATGGAATTCACACACTAACTCACGTTTTTTTTTTTCTTCCAAACTATGTCCTGTACGGTGGCTAGCATGATCTTTGCCATGTGTAAATATGATCATTCTTGCCTCCTGATTGATTCTCTTCAGTAGATTCATAGCTCTTTAAAATTAAGATTGAAATCTTTGTTAGGAATAATTAGAAACTGTAATGCCTGAATCTCTCTCTCTCTTTGGCACCCCATTTCTTCTAGTTGCCTTCATTCTCAGACATACTCTTTTCATGTGAGGGCAAAGGCAGGCTCCCTAAAGAGTTATATTTATGCCATCCTAACAGTTCTTGATCTTAGTTCCCCAGATTACATGGAGTACAGGAGAGAAGGCTGCCAAAAGAAAGATATGAACAACAAATAACACATACTCTCTAGCCATATAATTAAAATAAAATTATTCTGTATATACTGTGTTTCCAATTGTCAACTAATGCTCTCTATATTTAAAAACTATATTTAAACAAGTATGTAAAGTAATTTGCTACAGGGAATTCCCACATATTGAGATAATTTTTTTTTTTGAGATGGAGTTTTGCTCTTGTCACCCAGGCCAGAGTGCAGTGGCGCGATCTCAGCTCACTGCAACCTCTGCCTCCTGGGTTCAAGTGATTTCTCCTGCCTCAGCCTCCCAAGTAACTGGGACTACAGGCGCCCGCCACCATGCTCAGCTAATTTTCTGCATTTCTAGTAGAGACAGGGTTTCACCATATTGGGCAGGCTGGTCTTGAACTCCTGACCTCAGGCGATCCACCCATCTCAGCCTCCCAAAGTGTTGGGATTACAGGCGCGAGCCACTGCGCCCGGCCATAGTGAGATAATGTTAACCTTCATGGAGATATTAGGAGTGAGGTTGGAAGTTTATGAGAAAAATTATTTTATAATCTATATTCTACTTCCAGGAAATGAAGGAATTTAAATGATACTCTAAACTTCTGTAACGGTATTAAATACAGTTAACATTATTCATTACCTACCATATTCCACAAACTTTATTAGCTTGAAATTCTTTGCATAATTTTCTTTTTCCCCTTTTCCTTCCTCTTTAGTTTTTGATGAGACCTGTGGAGAATTTTAAGCTTTCTAAGATATAACATGGAGCATTGCTTCTTAAAGCATGTGAGTTTAGTTTATTGATAATGTGATATTGCAGCATAAAAGTTATATTAGACAAACCCCATCACAAGGCTGCTTTTCTTCTTGCCTTGTATAGCTTCTATACGATTCTTTCACTAATGTCCAAGAGGAAAAACAAAGCCAAAATCTTATCTCTAATACCAAGAGCATGTCATGTGTAGCAGGTCAGGCATGGGAAAATGTAAATCATTTGAAGCCTATACAAGTTTTAGTTACCCACTTAGGATAATAAGTTATGTATGTCTATAAGCCATTGGTCTATAACTGAACAGAGTGTATTGTTGGCTTCAAGCTAGAAAGGTTATGAGTCAAATGTGATTAATGCTATAGCATGGATAGGTACTGTGAGACTACTGAGTAGCTATGTATGTTTCCTGTTAAATTAGGTACATATATTCCCTAAAAATATTTCATTAAGAAGTTTAGGACTCACTCAGTTATTCACCTTTAAATTATATATGGCTTATATCTATTTATATATTTATTGTTTTGTTTTATTGTGCTTTGTTTTAGATACATGAATTTGTGATTTCCAGAAAAATTATGTTGCTTTTCATGTCTTCATTATTTTTCATGTTTATATTTATTTCTATAAGCGAGATTTCAAAATGCTGAAATAATTGGCCATCCAACAGTTAAAATCCTATAGTAGTAAAACCGTGGAAATCCTGGATAACTGTGACTATTCTTTATGACACAGCTTTTTCTTAAAATTGATATTAACAAAATGCCTTGATTCAGAATTAGCATGAAGCTATACATAAGCTTTTCCCCTGTCTTTCAGTAACTTAATGGTTTAAATTAATGTCATATTGAAGGACAAAATTTCCACAAGAGACACTTTGAATACAGAAAATTCTCAAAAATGCCTCTCTCAGTCAAGTTCCATCTTGTGATACTTTTGTGAGTTATTTTGAAGCAAAGTCACTATTATTTACATTTATTGTTAAGCTGTTAGTTTCCTAAATATTTTGATATGCACAATTAATTTAATTTTCACAATAAGTCCCATAGATAAATACAATAATTAATCCAATAATTAATCATAGGTGAGTTATATGAACCTTTATTGCACAGTGGTAGTTAATTTGAAAGAGACTGGGATCCAAAACATTTAATTCCTGATCAGACTCCACACTCTTCATGTTAAATTACAGATCAGAGAACAGCCCAGTTTATGTGGCCTAGAGCTTCAGCTAGATATTACATAAGAATACTGGATTTTTATTGGAATATTGTTTGGTTGTTCATTCTATTTTGCTAAAGTGCCAAGTATACAAAATTCCCCATAATGCGCTATAGAGTAATATTGCTTGTCACTTTAAACATAGATAAAATTCTCAAAAGCTTCCCCTGGATTCCCCCAGAATATCCATATGTATTTGGAATTATGTAGGAAAATGCAACTGAAGAGTTTCTCTGCAGTGGGCTTGATGAATGTGTTCCTGGGATGAAGAAATTAGCCAGCTGTCTGAGAAATAAAAAGATTACAAAGTTTTACCAGTTCTTGAATTAATTGACTTTCTCAGTTTGTAATGAGATCTGAGGATGACTTTCAGTGCAATTGAGATGATCCTTTTTGATCTATCTCAGGGTTTCTCAACCTCAGCACTATTAACATTTCGAACAGATAATAATTTTATATGAGGAGGGCTGACCTGTGCATTGTAGGATGATTCACAGGATCCCTGGCCTCTACCCATTAGATGCCAATCTCAGCTCCCCATTATGACAAACAATATCTCCAGGTGTTGCCAGTATCTCAAGGAAGTGGTGCAAAATAGTTCCCAGTTGAAAACCACTGATCTAGATGTATACACTTCAGAGAAATGCAAACTTTTCCCTTATTTTATGGAATGCAAATGAATGTCTAGCCTTTTTCTGAATACTGAGCATCTTCATTTTGTTGTGGTTGAAGGGAAATTCCTAAGTGACCACTATTCTGTGCTTTCTTTCAGAACCATTAACTACACGGCTCTCTCAAGCCAATTATTATCACATAAAATGTTTTCAAGGCCTGTGTGAGTGTTCAAAGGTCACATCATAGTAAAATGGCAAATCTTTTCATCTGATAACCCAGTAAATAAAAAACTACTATTCAAGAGGAAGAATCAGCCACAAACTATTTTTTTTCCTAATAAATCTGCCCTTCCCTACAATCTCACAGACACTGTGTTGAGGCAGGGATGCCAGCTTAAAAGCCTCATTATTCAAAAGGCTCATTATCTTATTTCTTGTCTTACCACTGGGCCTTGGTTGAAGCTATTCTGGACCACTCCTCCAGGTTTTTCTAACTTCAGGTCTCAAAGATCAGGATTTCAGGCATAACTCCTTTTTCTCTCACAGACTCTCAACTTCTTAGGCATATCGGTTCACTTATTCTGAGAAATCAACTTGGAATATCAAGGAATGAAACAGATTGGCTAAGGTACTCAAAAACATAACAATGGGTGCCCACTTCTTTACACTGTCGTAACTAAATAAGGCATCCGAATAACCTTTTATAGAGGCAAAATTATCTTCAAGGTGACTCTCCATCCATTTCTGTATTATAAAGTAGGTGCCAACTTCTCTTCCCAAAAGGCAGCTTATCTTAGGAGATAGCAAAAATTCCTCACCATTTAGCTTATCAGTTATTCTACCAGACAGTGATGCAATCTCCTTGCAAATGCAATCTGTTTTTCTGATGAATTGCCAAAGTTCAGTAGCCACAGATGGAGGTGAGGACAGGGAAGAAAACCCCACAGGCATAGTTGTCCTTGTTTGAGGATGTCATTAAGAAGTCCATTCTGGTTCATGGCCAGATGCCTCCTTGTTGCCTTTGTAGAAGGCCAGTCCACTCATTTGTGTTTGTTGGTACAAAGAGCTATTTTTGTTGTTGAGTGCAATTGCCTCCATTTAGAAGTACTTAAAATGAGCACATGCACTTTCTGGAAGGCTATTTTACTTTCATTTTATTAAATGATTTATTGGATGGCTCCCAAAATGATTACCCAGAAATGTCAGGTAAAGGTTAATTCAATACCATGGGGCAGAGTGGTGTTAGACTTATGTGGCATGAGGCTGATTAGAACATTTGCCTTAGGAAAGGAAAGGGAATAATTTAGTGTAACACCATGGGTATCTGACATTACTTTTCAATTTACCTGTTGATGAAGAAATACATTTCCGGGTGTCTTTTCCATCTCAGAAAAAGTGAAAATGTTTTTGAAAGAATGGTCACACTTCACTATTTGAAAATATGTATTGACATAATTTAGGAATATTTTTCATTGCTACAGAAACACTGTTTTCATATAAGATTATGCTATGGAAGAAAGAAGAGGCATGAAATGGGAGACAAGGGGAAGTGCATTTTGGCAGATATATTATTACATAGAATTTTTGAGGTCTGGAAACTCTGAATTAGAAAGTGTGGGCTTGATTAACAGCTTCATGGTCTATGTACTAAATATATGACATTAGGACAATTCATCTTCTTAAGCTTTAGTTTCCTCATCTGTAACATAGAAAATGCAGAACACAGTTTGCTTCACACAAACATGCTCAGTCTACACATTTTCTTATTCAAGAAACATTCATTGAGCACCAGCTGTGTCCCAGGAATGGTTTTAAGCTCGGGAAACAAAAGACTGCGCAGAAACAAGCCCATTCTGCTGCCTTCGTGGAGCCTGTGAGTTGGGTTTGTGGGCTTGGTTAGAAAGCAGCTATGAATTAAGTAATCATATAAACGTGTGAAATTTTAACTGTGATAACCGCTATCAAATAAAGCAATTCGGTGTTATAACTCTGAGTTATATTCTAGTCTGAGACAGCAGGAAACTTCCTTGAGAAAGTGACAGTAGAGCTACATCCCAAAGATGAATAGAAGTTAACTAAGTACAATGGTCTGAATATTTGTGCCCCCTCAAAATTCATAGGTTAAAATCTATTCACCATTGTGTTGGTATTGGTAGGTAGGGAATTTGAGAAGTGATTTAGATTATAAGGTGCTCTCATGGTTGGGATTAGTGCATCTAGGAAAGAGGCCTTAGGGAGCTGCCTTGCCCCTTCTACTCTGCGAGGACACAGCATGAAGACATCCTCTATGAATGAGAAAGTGGGCCTTCACTAGACATTGAATTTGCTGGGGTCTTGATCCTGAATTTCCTTGCTTCCAGAACTGTGAGCAAGCTACCTGGTCTCTGGTATTTTGTTATAGCAGTCCAAACAAGCTAAGACACTAAGGGATGGTGGGGAGAGAAAGGGAAGAGTAATGTAGGTAAAAGCCCTGTATCAACAGAGAGTGTCAGAGAAATGTAGTGAAGGCCAGGGCGGTTGATGCCTCAGGAATGAGAGAGAAGAGTAATGTGTAGTGCAACTGGGGATGCTAGCAGGAGTTTGAACATGTAGGGCCTTTTAGACCATATTATGGATTCCGTTTTTTTAAAATTAATATTTTTGAGAAGCCCCTGAATAATTTTAAGAAGAACGAAATGTTGGTGATGGTGACATAAGTATGTTGTATTTTGAACTCTGGTTACAATGTAAACAAGATGGGGGGATGGGATGGATCTTGCAATAGGCTAAGTGAGGGCTGAGGGCACCTTGGGTTAGGGAGACAGTAGAGAGGAGGGGAAGAAGTTAATAGCACTGAGAAGGTCAAATCAATATATATATATATTAGGTATAATTGTTATTGCTATGGTTCTTAATGCCATGTGATCAGACTATTGACATTCTTCCTTTTGAGTTGGAGCCAGTTGCTTTTCCATGCTTAGTGATATGGTTTGACCATGTGTCCCCACCCAAATCGCATCTCAAATTGTAATCCCCATGTGTTGAGGGAGGGACCTGGTGGGAGGGACCTGGTGGGAGGTGACTGGATCATGGGGGAAGATTTTCCCCATGCTGTTCTTTTGATAATGAGTTCTCATAAGATCTGATGGTTTGAAAGTGTGGCACTTTCCCTTCACTCTCTCTCTCGTCTGCTGCCATGTGAGACGTGCTTGCTTGCCTTTTGCCTTCCGCCATGATTGTATGTTTCCTGAGGCTTCCTAGCCATGCTTCCTGTTAAGCCTATGGAACTGTAAGTCAATTAAATCTCCTTTACTTATAAATTACCCAGTCTCAGGTCGTTCTTTATAGCAGTGTGAGAATGAACTAATACACTCAGAAAAATTTGATGCCAATGTGAAACCCTCTTTTTCAGATATTTATTCTTTGATAATCATCATCTTTAAGGGAAAATCTTCACCCAGTAAGTTGAGACCCTCTAGTGGACTCTGAGAGATCCAAGAGCAGATCTTAAGATACACTGAGCACTTCAGTCTCCTTGTGGATTCTGGGGTTTCCAACAGGAATGGTGCACCTCTGCTGAGAAGACCCATGGTCAGCTTAACCATCTGTTCTCCTAAACTTGCCATGTTTTAGATCCTGGTTCCCCATTTTTTGGTGATGAGGTATAGATTTAAAATTCTTCATTTTCTCCTATGTTACTTGAAGGGCCAAAAAAAAAAAAAAAAAAACCAATTGCATTGTACGGAATTGACAATCTGATGCATAGCAATGAGTAAGTCTCTATTCTTGGATACCTGACTCCCTTTAATCCTCATTTGCAGTTCTGACAGTTAGTGTGTGAACTTGAACTCACTTCTTTTTCCTGACTGTATTCAAGTTGTTGTACTAGGAAGATGGGGATAGAAGTATCTCCATACTTCCATACTCAAGAATGTTCTGAGGTTAAAACATTATATTTATTTATATAAATATTTGCATGCCAAATATTTATTTATTCTACAGATATTTATTAAGCATATATTAAGTGCCTGAAACTGTTTACTAAAGTAAACATATACGAAAACAAAATATATCTGCTGTTTTGGTATTTGTACTCTGATTAGGATGGGATGGAGTGGGGTTGAGACTTCAATCTCTTCCTAAAATTCCCCAGCCAGCCCATGCCCTGGCCCTCACAAATAAGAGGAACGCACTCTGGCCTGATCTGGCACATCTCTCACTACTGGTCAAGGAGTCTGAATGGCCACTTGCTCTTCTCTGGAGATCATGATCTAGGCAACTGGCACTTGAATTCCCTGCCCAAACAACTTCAAGCCTATACTTTTAGGGAGTGCACAGGACTATTTCCTGGGTCCATATGCACAAGGCAAAGTATACCACTGTTGTACCCCTTTCTACATCTGAGGAGTGGCCAGGGGCATTATAGTTTGCCTGGGGTATGAGATGGACACTGTAGATGGACCATGGTTATATCCACTGGTGTGTCTTACATACAAACATGAGGCCCATTCTTATATGAGACAATGTCAAGGGTGGGAAGAAAAAGGGGTTGGGCTATGGGTAAGGGTTAGTCTCCTTCTCCCATGCTGTTATATTCTGGCATAGAACACCAAGCAGTCAAAAATTCTACATTTGAACTTGGCCTTTCTTTACCAACCCATTTTTGTCAAGGCAGGAAGGTAGAATATATTTTACTTGGCAGTTTTATCACTTGATTTCTAAACTTCTAAATATTTAAGCATACATTAGTGGGTCTTAAAAATCTTAGAAGGTTTATTGGGGAGGTGTTTAATCAATAGATAAATACTTGAAGACAATCATTGTAGACAGTGATAAATGTATGAACATAATAAGTCAGGGAGATGTGACCGTGACCTCCGGAAATAGCAGCTCTGTTAGACTGGTTGCTGAAGGAACTTGTCTTTGAACAAGCAGCAGAGAAATGACATGAATAAGAAGGCATTCATTAGAAAGATCTTAGTGCAGGTCATTTCCGGCAAAGGAAAAAACAGATGCAAAGGCTCTAAAGAAGAGAGGCACTTGGTGCATCCAATAGAAATAGAGCCAATAAAAAGGACAGTGTGATTGGAGTATAGTAAACTCAAATACCTAGTATAACTTGGAGTTAGAGAAGTCAGCAGGAGACAGATCCTATAGGGCCTCGAAAATCACAGTTTAGAATATGGATTGATTCCAAATGCAGTTTAAACCACTAGAACATTTTACACAACAGAGCAGTGTGATATGATTTATGTTTTACAATTATCATTCTGGCCATTCAGTGGCAAATAAATTGTAGAGACATAGTAACAGAAACAGGAAAATCATATAAAAGACTATTGCAATGGTCTAAGTTAATGGTGATAGTGGCTTGGATTATGTTGCCAGTACCATGCTGGGCATTTGGTGTGAAAATGTTGTGATTGAATACGTGTTAAGAACTATTCTATTGACTCCAGCCAGAGGGACAGAGTGTGATCATGTCTCTAAAAAGAAAATACATAAAACGTAGAAAATTGCTATTATATTGAGTTCCATGGAAACTTCTAGCAATTAATTACATGTTGAATTCCTTTGGGGACAACATTATTTAGCCTATGCTTCAGCAAACTGACTATTCGTTTAGTAGTCTTCCTCTTTCAGACAGCACCACTGCCTCCACCTCCACACGTGATACTAACAACATCAGAAAATCAAACCAAATTATTTAAAATATTATTTGAAGATGAAATATAGTGAGCTGCATTGGAGGCTCAGACTGAGTTCTGTGGTGGGTCACCTCTTAACAGCTGAAAATGGAAAACTGTTAGAAGGGAACAGGAAAAAGTATGAGGAAATAGCACAAATTCATTCAAGTTTCGTGTCAGATGAAATTACAGTTGAAATACTTGGCTTATTCATAAAACTGTGGTGTATCATGTGAGGCCTTTACATAATGAATGACTAAGCAATGTTTTCAGTTTATGCTATTGAACTATTAACATGTATAGTGGAGTTTACAAATGCCAGAAATTTCAGTTTACCCAATAAGTGTTTCCTGAAGGCCCACTGTACGCAGAACGAACCAGGGAATACAGAGAAAATTCTAGTCCTTAACTTAGAAGTCCTAGAGGACTCGAGGAGGCCACAATTTAATAAAGCCTTTGATTTTTAAATCTTTCCAGCTTACTTTTTCGATTGTTATAAAGCTCACAGGTTTTTTGTTTGTTTTCATTTGCTCACTTTATTTTCCTTAATACTGTCTTCTTTACATTCCAAACTTTCACAAAATGGAGTCTTTGTGAATTGCAGTATTTTCTTTAACATGGCCCCATTTCCATGGATGTATTTATTACTTAGTGAAATGGTTATTATCCCCTAAATCTTTGTCCAGAGGGTAAATTTCTCCTTAGATTATTTTAATGTTCCAATCCCCATGAAATGTAATTAACCTGCCTCTTGTCTTATCTTTTGTCCAAAGTAGCTAGTTACCGTTACACTAGATCTTGATTTTGTGATTAAATGGCAAAAGCACTTTCTTAGGTAAACGGAATAATGTCTGCCATGTAGGTGTCATTTAAAAATAATAAAATACATTTTTTGCACTGTGACAGTTCCATTGTACTTATGGCATCCTTGTTAGAAACTATAATTCCTTTTGCTTTGAAACTATTTTTTCCTTGGCTTTTTTAGACTTGAACAAAAGTTATATTTCCATGTGGCTTCTATAAAAATAACTTTCTGATGCTCACATTGTCACTAACAATATGAGTGATAATTAAGACACATAACATATGTAACTGCAGGTGAAGGGATTATCTACATGATTTTATATCATCTTCACAACAACCTATAATGTATGCATAACATAGAATTCGTAAAATCTGCATTTTTTAAAAACTGGCATTGTTTGTCACTCCCTTAAAAAAAATCCCCACTATAATGTAAAGAATATGAAGTCAAGGATTTTATCTGCCTGTTTCCCTGTTATTCTTCAGTGCTTGCCTGATGCCCAATCCAAAGGTGATACTTAACCTGGCTTTCTAACTACATGACACTCAGAGATTAAGTGGCTTGCCTAAAGTAACACAACTACTATAGAGCTGTCCTACTCCAAAGACTGTTCTTAGTGAGCTTTATATGTAGTTTCAAGGGGGACGTTCAGAGCCCTGCTGGGATTAGAATTAGGGATTCCTTATGCCATTTGGAATTATCTAATAATGGTGAAGCTAAAGATCTGCTATATTTTATATTATCTAATTTGGGAGAATGTTTTATTCTAGATAAATAGCATCAGATTCTTATTAAACACAAATGACTTGCTGTAAGGCTTTTTCTTCTCATCACAGTAGCATTTTCCCATCATAATCCAATTTAGTCCTAACGGAAGTAACTGAGCCATGAATGTCAACTTCCCCTTTCTCAGATAACCCATATAAAGTTATGTTTTTCACAGGCTGTCTAGTTAAAGTCTTCCTATCCTACCATAAATGAGTTTAGAAATAGTAAATTCTCCTTTCTGGGGAAATTATTGATCCTGCCCTCATTGTTCTAATGACAAACATTGGGTAATTTCACATTTCCTGCTGCAGTGAGTTTCAGCTCCTCCTCTGAGCATTCAAGATGCTTACTTTTCTTACACTCTCTTCCAAACATTGAAACCTAGTTATATCTTTAGTCCTCACTTCCAGAAAATTCTACTGATATTGAGGGAAAAGAGAGAAAGGAATTAGTTAGGCAGATAGCTAGGACAAGTCCTTGGTAGAATTCCTTTTTTTCTAACAAAGGAACAGCTTGAAAGATCAGGCTGCAAGCATAGATAAGGAGGCAAGGTCTACCATAAGATGCTTTCTGTGTAAGTTAACTAGTAAGGGTCACATATACATGGTAGGCTTCAGTGAGCACATTTATTTCCTTTTCTGGACATACTCAGATATGGGCATTAGTGCAGGGGAGGGGGAAGGGGGGCTTGCTTGAACCATGCCTAAGAGGAGTAACATAGAACCCAGCACATCCACAATGGGGAATCCCACCCCCTTACACATATGCAGTAAGGGAAATTAAACAACATGGAGTAACTTAGGGTGAGTCCACATGTGCACTAAAAGGATAGGAAGGAGCTGTCAGGAATTCATGCCTTATGTAAATGAAATACCTAGTCCTAACCAGTTCTTTGCACCTTATGTAAATGAAATATCTCAGCCTACTAGTATGTTTATAAAATCCCTAGTATTCAACTTTAGAATGGCAACCCTCTTTCAGGCTCCCTCTCCATTGCTGAGAGCTTTCTCCTTTCTCTTGTTAAACTTTTGCTCCAACCTTACCCTCGTGGCCACACTCCTTAGTTTTCTTGGTGGTGAGACAAAGAACTCCAGGTTCTACTTTGGAAAACAAAACTCAAACACTATGTTCATTGGTAAGGCTGCTGCAATATCGTGTAACCTAGGGAGGCTGGAGGGCTCTCTTTAGCCTAGTCTGAGATCATCTACTTCTGTACCTTTGTGCTGGTGTTATCACCTCAGATAACACCAGCTTACGTGAAACTTACATGAAGTGTGTAAGTCTGCTTACATGAAACCTGCTGTCTCCCAGGGCAGAACAGAGGTAACATCTTCTTGTATAACTTGTGTCTCTCTTATGGCTCTCTCCCATGGACTAGGCCAATGGTGTATGTCACATCCCCTCAAGGTGGCAGCCTTCTGTGATAAGGCCTGAGTTTGAATCTCTGTGAGTGCCCCAAGCAATGCCTACTTCACAGTGAACAGAATGATGCTTAGCAGAAGAGTTCTGCTCCCTCACGTCCTTTCTTCCTTTGTTCTTTCTGTGAGACAACCCTCTATTCTGAAGAGTCAGGATGTTGAATATCAATGGAGAAGGATTTAGATTATTTGGGTTGGAGCATCTGTATGGACAACAGAATTTCTCTTTGCATACTGAACACTCCTTTATTCTTCCCCAGTAAAGATGTTCCTCCATGAAAGGGTCAAGAGGAAGGAAAGACATAAGTCCCTTAAATATAAGCCCTGTGGTTATTTTGATAACATGTGGTGTGGTGTTAATACAATTCACTATATTCCCCACATATGGTACACACCAATTCTTTATTTTTCTCATTCAGTAATTTGTTCATTCAGAATCCATCTTGGATAGGCACCAGAGAATTCCCTTCTTTCTTTGATTGTTCTCCCTTTTCTTCAATTCCTAGTCCTTTTGTCCTCTTTTACCTCTTTGAAGGTCCCATTATTCCGTACCGGACAGGTACTTCCTGCACTCAGAAGCCTCACGTGTTTTGGGAAAGCAGTTTAGGTTCTTAATGTGTTTTAGGGTAAAACATTGGTGGCAAACCAACTTTTATTGGGATAATAAAAAGTTTTTCACAAGATAACTTTGATGAAGTATCTAGAATGTGAGAACCGTGAAAAATACATGTGCCATGTGAGCAGGACCTTGTTAGCTCATTATGGAATTCCCCGGTCTTAGTAAGTGCTCAGGAGATATTTGTTAAATGTATGTGTGCCCCTCTGCTCTGTTTTTTTAACCAAACAGTGAGGGGTGAGAATGTAGGGAGATATGAAACAAAAACGTCTGGGAGATACAAAGAAATTCTCTTGCTGCAAATAAAAATGAGAGAAACTGAATTTTTAATGTTTCTTCAGTGTTGCCACCTCTATTAAGGGCCTCTCAATAATTCTTCAAATACAGAATAAGGAATTTAACCTATCACAGTGTCATTTTGAAAGGATTTGCATTTTGAGTACAAGGAACTCAAGTCTTGTCTCCTGTTTTGTTTAGGAAAAATTTAATATCACAATATAAACAGCACCACAGAGAGACTTACCTTGTGGGCAATTTGAAACTTTCAGTCACCGCCCTTGGTTACTTTTTCTTTCAAAGAACTTTCAGTCAGCCTTTTTCCCTCTTGCAATGAGGTTCATGCATCTTTTATCCTTTGGGCTTCTTGAAATCATAGTTGAAACGCTTTGCTAATGTAAAACATTTCCATCATTTTTGGCAGTATATGATTTAGGTTTTTCGATACAGTTTTAGTTTCCTTGGCTGGCTTTGCTTTAAAGCTATTGCTCAAACTACTCTAATGACACAGGGTATTTTGTGGATGGTGTCCCATGGCAGAAAGGGGGAACTTTTAAACTATTCTTAGCAAATGTGGAGAGAAGCAGGAGTTTGGCCTTCACCAGTAGAGGCTAAAGTCAACCAATCTATCTACCTTGCCATCTATATCCTCTAAGAGCTTCTGCTAATTATCCTTATTTACCTACTTCATACTCTTGTGGAAGCTATTAAATTTGAGTTGACTCTATTATTTTTTTCAGGAAGCAATGTCTGATCTCATTCTGTTCTTACCTCCTCTGAAGGATGCCTATCCCATCCTGTGACTCTTGCTGTATTCCGGGGCTGAACTTGAGATAACTTCGGTCTATATCTTATCTTCCCTATTATGTTCCAAGCCACTTAAATACAGGAAATATTTCTTTTACATTTTTTATATTTCTCAAAGACATAGATAGGTATTGAGGCCCCATTAAATATTTTTTTTCAGGGCCTAATTTGTATAACTCAGCACAACAAGGGAGGCAGGGCTAGGAGTTAGAAAATGCAGCATGAGAAGTCTTCATCTTAAATGAAGCTATACGTTTAGCATTGTTGGTGATTTGACCCTATTGGTCCAGGGAATATGGCTTAAAGAATGATCATTGTGCAAACTCAGAACCTCTCTCTGTCCCAAAGCTAGTGCGGGCTGTAAATGTTGCTTAAACTGTTCTTCCTCTAAAGGGCACAAAGCCTGTATTGTATATTGTGTGTGTGCATGTTGTGTTGTTTTGGAGAATGAGCAACAGCATGTCCAGGCCAGGAGTGGGACTCACAGCTGGCAATAATCCTTAGCTAACTTTTTCCAAACAGTGAATAGTTCTAGAACTCTACTCTAACCCTACATTTGGAATTAAAGGCATGTTCTTATTATAGCCTAGAAGGACTTCCATCTTATGGCCCTCATTTTCCAGTGCACCAGTGTCTTGAACCAGTTTTCCTCCTATACACAGCATCTGAGAAATATTGGTTTTCCTTTTGTCTCCGTTGCATGCTCTGGGTCTTCCCATGGGCTGGAGCTCTTATCCAGGACTGCTGCCAAATCCCTAATCCATATTCCATTTGTGATATATCTGGCTAATTCCTCTGTGTCTTTTAGATCTTAGTGCAAAGGTTATTCCTTCAGGAAGATGTCCTTGCCACCCCAATCTAAATGATATAAGTTTGATTCCACAGATTATTCCCATTTACACTTTCTTCTTTCTTTTACAGTCTCACAATTTGTAAAACTGTGATGATTTCTTTTAGATAAACATGCCTCATTAAATGCAAGAAGTGAGGTTTACTGCTATATTGGCAATACTTTGCTTGAGGTTTGGCACATAGTAAATCTCAATAAATTTTTTTTTGTATGAATGAACTGCCAAGGAAGACTAAGGAATGAGTGGATCTAAACTATGTAGCCAAAGGAAGGGATTGTTATCTCTTGGTATAAAATGTAAATGATGCATCTGAAAGAAATTTATGCAGTGTTTTCTCTTCTCTATAAACATCAATGTGTGTGTTTACAGAGAATGGGTGGTTCAAGAGTATTTTTAAAATGATAAGTGTGTCTCCAGGTTTTTCAAGGATGCTTATTCACTTTGTTTGGTACACTATTTCTACCAGTGGCAGCTCCATTTTTACTCCCTCTTCACATACGCCATCTTTTAATTTGGTAATTTCCATTTGTCTTCCAGCTCAGAGTCCAAACCTGTACCCTCAGAAAGACTTTCTCTGGTTTTAGAAATTAAGCTAAACCTTTTACTATATAATGTTAAAGCAATCTGTCCATTGTTTTTCATAAAACTTCTCACATTTCATTCGCTCACTATTCAACAAATGTCCATGTGCAAAAAAATCTTGATTCATCAGGCTTGTGAGATTCCAACACTGCACATTCCAAAGAAAGGACTGGCCTTGACTGGCTTCAGAGGGATCACATTGAAATGTTCCTTGAAATACACTGCCGGATAAAGTATCTTCGTGTACCTGGGGCCTTGGGCCATGGCGGGTACTTTATGCTCACGCTGTGACTTACGGTGGGGCCTTGGCCAATGCTATATGAGTTTGACTTTGAAAGGGGCTAAAGATCAAGTAACCAAGGTCAGATCCATGGGTGTCCCATACCTATGTGATTGACTCCCTTTGAGTTGATCAACCAAAACCCTTGAAAAGAGGGTCCAGGCATGCCTCTCTGGTTGGCAATACTTAATATATGTTGTCACACGTCATTGCTGGGAGAATTAAGTGCTTGTCTGTATGACTCCCCGGGGAGAGGACAACTGGAAACTTGTGCCAGATCTCTCTTGAACTCTCCTACATGTGCCTTTTTTTCTCTGCTGATATTTATCTGTATCATTTTGCTACAGTAAGTCATAACCATGAGTATAACAGCTTTACTGTTTAACAGCTTTATAATGACTTCTGTGAGTACTTCTAGTGAATCACTGAACCTAAGGGTGGTATGGGAACCCCGACAGTACTGGTCTAACATGCGAGTTATCTACTAGGGACAGAATATACAGTGATGAACAAAGTAGCCTTTTCTCTAAAGGATAGATTCGCTGATGGAGGAGTCAAACTGTAAAAAAGTAAAAAGACAAATATATAGTTACAAGTAAAAGTAAGTCCTACAAGCAAAACAAACAGGATAAAACCAGAGTGTAGTAGGAGAATCTGTGTTTCTTGCCAGACCATCAACTCTATGAGAGGAACTGTGTGCTTTTGATTTACAATTTATCTTCAAAATGTAACAGATTTCTGGCAGAGAATAGATACTCAATGAATACTTGTTGACTTAAATAAAATCAAGTACTTACTTCCTTCCCACAGCTGTCATTTTCCTCCCTGAAATTTTCATGAGCAGAGTGAATTGAATTTGGGATGATAAAACATATAGGGCACACCTAGGTTATATGTTAAACAGGGTGTGTGTGTGTGTGTGTGTGTGTGTGTGTGTTTCCTCCAGAGACAAAAGGCTCAGTTGGCTTTTGAAAAGAAAAGGCTTCTCTGGTTTGTCGATTTGGGTTTTGAAAATTTTGATGTTATTTCCGACTCATCATAGGTAAGTAAGTTCATATTAAAAAAATTTAGCTGATCTAAGAATAAATAGAATACAAAGATAGATGCAAATGCTTAATAATGAGTATTTGGTAATGTTAAACATGTAAAAGATTTATTGCACTTTGAAGGTGACATAAAGTACCATCAGATTTACTTTTAAATCCTAATAGCTAAAGTGCAAGTATATTAATTTCTACATTTTTAAGTCATTATTAAAAGTTAATTTTGTGGGTCGGGTATGGTGGCTCGCATCTGTAATCCCAGCACTCTGGGAGGTTGAGGCGGGTGGATCACTTGAGGTCAGGAGTTCAAGACCAGCCTGACCAACATGGTGAAACCCTGTCTCTAAAAATATAAAAATTAGCCCGGCGTGGTGGCGCATGCTGGTAGTCGTAGCTGCTTGGGAAACTGAGGCAGGAGAATTGCTTGAATCTGGATGGTGGAGGTTGCACTGAGCCAAGATCATGCCATTGCACTCCATCCTGGGCGACAGAGCCAGACTCTGTGTCAAAAAAAAAAAGTCAATTTCGTGAAATCATCAGCTTTGTAACTTGCTGAACTATACCACTTAGCACTTTTCTGTTTCTCTAAGATGTTTGCACAGCTCTGTGCTCTAGATACTCCATCTGTGTTTATTGTGCACATTTCAGAGCCCAGGCAAGTATAAATACTGATCATGCTTGTTTATTAATTCTTTTTCGAGGAACTAGACTATACTGTGCTCCTTCAAATATCTTTCTGTGATATTGGGCCAAGTTAGAAGGTGCTAAATAAATGATGTCATGTAGAAATTTCAATATTGTAACAGTAGTAACATATTCTGTTGTTTTGCAGTTAAAATATTATGACTGCACATTCTGTTTGATTGTATTGATTGACCAGAGCTAAGTCTTCTCTTCTTTTTAGAGATGCTGCCGCTACTTGCAAAGATGTGTGATAGAAGCGCTGGTGCTGGTAATGTGTTTTGATGTGTATGTGTGTGTGTTGAGCCTTACACAATAAATGCTTTCTTCCATTCCTGTGTGTCAAAGGAAAATAATGATGGATTTTTGAGAGATCTCTCAGATCCTTTTTATGTGATGTTTGCCTATGATCAAGGGTGGGTGTAATGGGAGTCATGAAAATTATTTTAAGAAAATAATTCCTTTATTATTTATGTTCTTTAAAAAAGTAATTTTTAATCATTGCTTATTAGTCACATTTTAAGTGGGAGAAATGACTGCAATATGCCATGATAGGAATAGTAGGAGCTTTGGATTTAGACGGCTAAAAGTTTGAAATTTCGGTTTTAGCATTCAGTAATTGTATAAAGTCAGAAAAACAATTTTATTTCTTTAGCCCCAGTTTTCTCATCTACAAAACAGCACAGAGTATTCTAACAGCAGAAAAATGGAGACCTAGATTAACTTAGAGGTTGGATTTATGTTTGTAAAGAACTTAATATCTTTCAAATACTTTTACAGGCACAGGCTGCTTTTTTCCCCCACAAACTATTTTAATCATCTTATATTCATGTTGTCTTAGTTCATTCTGTGTTGCTACAACAAAATACCACAGGCTGCATAATTTGTTTTAAAAAGACATTTATTTCACTCACAGTTTTGGAGGCTGAGAAGCCCAAGAGCATGATGCAGGCATCTGGTGAGGGCCTTCTTGCTGCATTACAACTTGGGGCAGGGCATCAGATGGAGAGAAGGTAAGGGTATGCATGTCAGCTCAGTTCTCTCTTTCTCTTCTTATAAAGCTACCAGTCCCATCATGGGTGCCCTGCCCACACTGGCCCAGGTAACCTTATTTAATCCTAATTATCTGTCAAAGGTCCCAACTCTAATCTACATAAGAATTTGGAGATTAGTTTTCCAACACACAAACTTTTGGAGGACACATTTAAGCCACAGCACACATCATTTGTGATACAGGAATTCTGCCCTAGGATTATGAGGATGGCTCAACACGTGGCATCCAACATGGAACAGATGAACTTGGCAGCAGTGGTTTATTAGTTACATATATTCACAGCCAGAGGAAGGTGGAATTGTGCCATGCAGGGCTACACAAGAGCTACACACAGGAAGACAGGAAACAACCAGGGCCTGTGGGAAGCAGGCTTTGCAGTACCAAGAAGCTGGAGTTATCTCTAGTTCCTGGGTGAGGATGGGATTGGCTTGTTGTAAAAATTCCAGGGGCTGGCAAGAAACGGTAACCTGTTACTCAGGGATGAGCAGGAACTGTTCCTGGTCTCCTTGATAAGGAAGGCTGTGTGGCTAGGGAACCTTATAAGCAGAAGCAAGGTGGAGAAGGACACTTGCAATTAGGCCAGATGAGGTTCCCTGGTTTCTCCCAGGTGTCAAGGCACCACTTAATGTTGGGCTTTAATTTTAGTCCTTAAATAATACATGCTTTCTTTCATTTGTTTATCATACTAAGACTGTGAAGTAGGTAATATTGTTGTAAAATTTTGAAAATCTTAAGAGAATACAACTGTCATAATAAAAAATGAATTAGAAGGTGAAAAGCTTTGGGAGGCTGAGGCAGGTGGATCGCCTGAGGTCAGGAGTTCGAGAACAGCCTGACCAACATGGTGAAACCCTGTCTCTACTACAAATACAAAAAAGTAGCTGGATGTGGTGGTGCATGCCTGCAATCCCAGCTACTTGGGAGGCTGAAGCTTAAGAATCACTTGAACCCAGGAGGGGGAGGTTGCAGTGAGCCAAGATGGCTCTGCTGCTCTCCAGCCTGGGCAACAAGAGTGAAACTCTGTCTCAAAAAAAAAAGGGTGAAAGATAAGATTATTCACGCATAAAATATCATGTATGAATACATGTAAGTTTAAATATCTATGTGCATATAAGTGCTTTGATATTTAAGAGTTATTCTATTCAGTGCACCTAGTAAAATAGAAAAATATTTATCCTTGCAATTACTTGGAATTAAGATTCTTGATAAGTAAAATCCTAGTAAAATGACAGTACCGTTTAACCAACAAAATGTCTTACCAACTTCTACCAAAACCCCAAGTCTTTCCACCAAAAATACACTCTTGCTTAAAAATCTTCCATCACTTCCCTCTGTTCTCAGTATAAAGATCAATATTTTTTTTTACCTATGGTGTCTACAGGACCTCACATGCTAAGGGCTTTTCCTCACTTGCTTCACGTCATTTACAGTGATGTTTCTTCAGCCATGTCTACTTTCCATGTCCACTCCAAACACAAAACTGTTCATATTTTTCCAAATGTGTGAAATCCTTTCTCTTTTCCACCTTTCCTTGGTTCTCCTAGTTAACTTAATTTTATCATCTAGGCCTGCTCAAATAATATTTTTCTGGGAATATTTTCCTGATGTCTCCTTTATAAAACCCCTAATATACTCTTTATCTTCTCTTCATAAAACTTACCACATTACATTTATTTGTCACATTTTAGTTATTTTAAGTAATTATAGATTTGTTTATAAGCTAACCTTTGAAGGAAAGGAAATGTCTTTTTTAACTTTTTTTTCTATACTAACTCCTTAATTCCTTAAAAAATCTATTACATAGTAGGGTAGGTAGTTAATGCATATTTTAAATTGAATTAATAAATGTAACATATTTTTGTATAAGGTTTAAGGAAGGGATCCAGTTTCAGCTTTCTACATATGGCTAGCCAGTTTTCCCAGCACCATTTATTAAATAGGGAATCCTTTCCCCATTTCTTGTTTTTGTCAAAGATCAGATAGTTGTAGATATGTGGCATTATTTCTGAGGGCTCTGTTCTGTTCCATTGGTCTATATTTCTGTTTTGGTACCAGTACCATGCTGTTTTGGTTACTGTAGTCTTGTAGTATAGTTTGAAGTCAGGTAGTGTGATGCCTTCCACTTTGTTCTTTTGGCTTAGGATTGACTTGGCAATGCGGGCTCTTTTTTGGTTCCATATGAACTTTAAAGTAGATTTTTCCAATTCTGTGAAGAAAGTCATTGGTAGCTTGATGGGGATGGCATTGAATCTATAAATTACCTTGGGCTGTATGGCCATTTTCATGATGTTGATTCTTCCTACCCATGAGCATGGAATGTTCTTCCATTTGTTTGTATCCTCTTTCATTTCATTGAGCAGTGGTTTGTAGTTCTCCTTGAAGAGGTCCTTCACGTCCTTGTAAGTTGGATTCCTGGTATTTTATTCTCTTTGAAGCAATTGTGAATGGGAGTTCACTCATGATTTGGCTCTCTGTTTGTCTGTTATTGGTGTATAAGAATGCTTGTGATTTCTGTACATTGATTTTATATCCTGAGACTTTGCTGAAGTTGCATATCAGCTTAAGGAGATTTTGGGCTGAGACAATGGGGTTTTCTAGATATACAATCATGTCATCTGCAAACAGGGACAATTTGACTTCCTCCTTTCCTAATTGAATACCCTTTATTTCCTTCTCCTGCCTGGTTGTCCTGGCTAGAACTTCCAACACTATGTTGAATAGGAGTGGTGAGAGAGGGCATCCCTGTCTTGTGCCAGTTTTCAAAGGGAATGCTTCCAGTTTTTGCCCATTCAGTATGATATTGGCTGTGGGTTTGTCATAGATAGCTCTTATTATACAAAAATTAATTCAAGGTGGATTAAAGACTTAAATGTTAGACCTAAAACCATAAAAACCGTAGAAGAAAACCTAGGCATTACCATTCAGGACATAGGCATGGGCAAGGACTTCATGTCTAAAACACTAAAAGCAATGGCAACAAAAGCCAAAATTGACAGATGGGATCTAATTAAACTAAAGAGCTTCTGCACAGCAAAAGAAACTACCATCAGAGTGAACAGGCAACCTACAGAATGGGAGAAAGTTTTTGCAATCTACTCATCTGACAAAGGGCTGATATCCAGAATCTACAATGAACTCAAACAAATTTACAAGAAAGAAACAACCCCATCAACAAGTGGGCGAAGGATATGAACAGACACTTCTCAAAAGAAGACATTTATTTATGCAGCCCAAAGACACGTGAAAAAATGCTCATCATCACTGGCCATCAGAGAAATGCAAATAAATACCACAATGAGATACCATCTCACACCAGTTAGAATGGCGATCACTAAAAAGTCAGGAAACAACAGGTGCTGGAGAGGATGTGGAGAAATAGGAACACTTTTACACTGTTGGTGGGACTGTAAACTAGTTCAACCATTGTGGAAGTCAGTGTGGCGATTCCTCAGGGATCTAGAACTAGAAATACCATTTAACCCAGCAATCCCATTACTGGGTATATACCCAAAGGATTATAAAACATGCTGCTATAAAGACACATGCACACGTATGTTTATTGTGGCAGTATTCACAATAGCAAAGACTTGGAACCAACCCAAATGTCCAACAATGATAGACTGGATTAAGAAAATGTGGCACATATACACCGTGGAATACTATGCAGCCATAAAGAAGGATGAGTTCATGTCCTTCATAGGGACATCGATGAAGCTGGAAACCATCATTCTCAGCAAACTATTGCAAGGACAAAAAACCAAACACCGCATGTTCTCACTCATAGGTGGGAATTGAACAATGAGAACACATGGACACAGGAAGGGGAACATCACACACTGGGGCCTGTTGTGGGGTGGGGGGAGTGGGGGCATATAGCATTAGGAGATATATCTAATGTTAAATGACGAGTTAATGGGTGCAGCACACCAACATGGCACATGTATACATATGTAACAAACCTGCACGTTGTGCACATGTACCCTAAAACTTAAAGTATAATAAAAAATAAATAAATAAATGTAACATATTCACACCATGGTTCAAGGATAACTTAGTGTGAATTTGAGTCAGAAAGATGTTTCTTCAAATGCAGATTCCTCCTGAGGTAAGATATACACCTTCACTAAACCTTAATTTCTTCATCTACAATATGGGGATTGCATCATATAGATTGAAAATCCCTTATCTGAGCATCTGAAATCTAAAATGCTCCCAAATTTGAAACTTTTTGAGCACCGACATGACACCATAAGTAAAAAACTTCCATATCTGATTTCATGTGAGAAGTCACAGTCAAAACACAATCAAAACTTTGTTTCATGAATGAAAGTTATGTAAAATCTTATAAAAAATTACTTTCAGTCTATATAAATAAGATGTATACAAAACATAAACAAATTTCATATTTAGACCTGGGTGCCATTCCTAAGATATCTAATTGTGTATATAAAATATTCCAAAATCCAAAACAATGTGAAATTCAAAACACTTCTGGTCCTAAGCATTTCAAAAAGATAACTGCTTATTTCAACAGTATGAAATAATGAAAAACAGTCCTTAGCAAACTGGCATACAGTAGATAATACAAAAATTATGCTAGGCTGGGCATGGTGGGTCACACCTGTAATCCTAACACTTTGGGAGGTCAAGGTGGGCAGATCACTTGAGTTCAGGATTTTGAGACCAGCCTGGGCAACATAGCAAAGCCCTGTCCCTATAAAATATACAAAAATCATGGCATGGTGGTGCAGGCCTGAATAGTAATCAGTTGCAATTACTATTCTTCAACTAAATAGTGGATATAAACAATAAATGAATATTTCTCAGATAGGGTTCAAATACTTTATTTCCAATAAATGAGTGTTTTTGTTCTTTTTTTTTCTGAGCAGAATAAGAAGAGACAAATGTCATTTCAAAATATTCCTTGGCTGTTGATCGGCACAGCCTGGTCTAGAGTAAGATCTCCTGGGATGGCAGGTTACTACATATTCTATATTACCCTTTCATTTAGGTGAATGACACCTCTACAGTTTGAACCTATAAAAGTATAAGAAAGGAAGCCCTTTTGAGCTTTGAAAAAAAATGTCATAAAGACCACATAAATTGGCCATGCTTCACACAATACTATTTTCTCACGAGTATCAAATAGAGTGATATTCCTAGTGGAAGTGGAGGTATACTGAGAATAGTTATATAAAATCTTATGCTAACACTTAGGAGCATGAGCAAGTAAATTTAAAAAAGCTTTAACGTATCTAGCAAAAATTCAAGGTGCATATTTATAATAATTTTACAGCCAGAAAAATGATGAATATGTGAGTTTTTATGCAACAATATTAGAGAGAGAAAAATACTCTGTTAACTAAACAGAAAGTGTTGTCTCCATTAATGGGTCAAGTTATACTACAGTAGAGGTGGTATTTTTGTTTTCACTTCTCAGGATCTGTATTAGTCCATTTTCACACTGCTATAAAGAACTACCTGAGACTGGATAATTTATAAACAAAAGAGGTTTAATTGACTCACATTTCTGCATGGCTGGGGAGGCCTCAGGCAACTTACAATCATGGCAGAAGGAGAAGGGGAAGCAAGGCACATCTTACATGGAAACAGGAGTGAGGGGATTGCCACGCACTTAAACCATCACAAGAATAGCATGAGGGAAACCATACCTATGATCCAATTACTTCCCACCAGGTCCCTCCCTTGACATGTGAGGATTTAAGATGAGATTTGGGAGGGGACACAGAGCCAAATAATATTTTTCTGCCCAGGGTCCCTCCCAAATCTCATGTCTTTCTCACATTTCAAAACACAATCATGTCTTCCCAACTGTTCCCCAAAGTTTTAACTCATTCCAGGATTAACCCAAAAGTCCAAGTACATAGTCTCATATGAGACAAAGAAAGTCCCTTCCACCTACGATCCTGCAAAATAAAAAGCAAGTTAGCTACTTCCAAGATATGATGGAGGTACAGGCATTGGGTAAATTCTTCCATTCCAAATGGCAGATATTTGCCAAAACAAAGGAGCTATAGATCCCATGCAAGTTGGAAATCAAGCAGGGCAGACACTGAATCTTATAGCTTCAAAATAATCTCCTTTGACTCTGTGTCTCACATCCAGGGCATGTTAATGCAAGGGATGGGCTCCCAAAGCCTTGGACAGTTCCACCTCTGTGGCTTTGCAGGGTCCAGCCCCTGTGGCTTCTTTCACAGGTTGGCATTGAGTGCCTGTGGCTCTTCCAGGTGCGTGGCACAAGCTGTTGATGAATCTACCATTCTGGAATCTGGAGGATGCTGGCCTTCTTCTCACAGCTCCACTAGGCAGTGCCCCAGTGGGAGCTCTGCCTGTGGCTCCAACTCCATATACCCCTCTGCATTGCCCTAGCAGAGGTTCTCCATGAGAACTCTGCCCCTGCAGCAGACTTCTGCCTGGACATCCAAGCATTTTCATACATCCTCCAAAATCTAGGTTGAGGCTCCCAAAGCTCAGCTCTTGTCTTCTATGCACCCACAGTCAGCCTAACACCACATGGAAACCAGCAAGGCTTGGAACTTGCACCCTCTGAAGCAACAACCTGAGCTGTACGTTGACCCCTTTTAGTCACACCTGAAATTGGAGTGGCTGGGACACAGGGTGCCATGTCCTGAGGCTGCACAGAGCAGTGGGGCCCTGGGTCTGCCCCCCATAAAACCATTTTTTTTCTCCTATGCCTCTAGTCTTGTTATGGGAAAGTCTGGCATGAAGATCTCTGAAATACCCTGGAGACATTTTTCCTATTGTCCTGGCTATTAACACATATTTAGCTTTTCATTACTTACGCAAATATCTGCAGCCAGCTTGAATTTGTCCCCAGATAATTTTTGTTGTTGTTGTTTGTTTGTTTTTCCTTTTCTACTGCATGGTCAAACTGTAAAAATTCCAAACTTTTATGCTCTGCTTAACGTGAGGTTCAATTTCAGATTATCTCTTTGTGAACACATATGACTGTATGTTGTTAAGAGCACCCAAGCCATATCTTGAATGCCTTGCTGCCTAGAGATTTCTTCTGCTACATACCCTAAATCACCTCTCTCAAGTTCAAAGTTACACAGATCTCAAAATCAGGGGCAAAATGCCAACAATCTTTTTGCTAAAGCACAGTAAGAGTGACCTTTACCCCAGTTCCCAGTAAATTTCATTTTCATCTGAGACCTCCTCAGGTTGGACTTCGTTGTCTATATCACTATCAGCATTTTGGTCAAAGCCATTTAACAAGTCTTTAGGCAGTTCCAAACTTTCCCCCATCTCCGTGTCTTCTGAGCCCTCCAAACTGTTCCAATCTATGCCCATTACCTAGTTCCAAAGTCACTTCCACATTTTCAGGTGTCTTCATAGCAGTGCCCCACTCCCAGTACCAATTTTCTGTATTCATCAATTTTCACACTACTATAAACAGCTACCTGAGACTGGGTAGTTTATAAAAACAAAAAAAGAGGTTTAACTGACTCACAGTTCCACATGGCTTGGGAGGCCTCAGGAAAATTACAATCATGGCAGAAGGGGAAGGAAGGCACATCTTACATGTTGGCAGGAGAGGGAAGGGGGAACTGCCACATACTTTTAAACTACCAGATCTTGTGAGGACTCACTCACCATCATGGAGACAGCATGGGGGAAACTGCCTCCATGATCCAATAACCTCCCACCAGAACTCTCCCTTAACATGTTGGGATTACAATTTATGATGAGATTTGGGTGAGGACGCAGAGCCAAACCATAACAGGATTTTACAGAGAGATTAGTCTCTTACGTGTTTCTCATGTAACAAAGAGTCCGTATGTAATAATTTCTCAAAGATGAATTTTTGGCCTCCAAAGTTAATATAGTGAATATTTTGATTACAATAAAAAGTAATGTCAAAGTACAATTAAGGCATTAGAGGCTAAGTTGAGCCACTGGGTTATGGATTGCTTTCAGAGAATCTTATTAGCCAGTGAATTCAGGAAAAGAAAAAAAAATCCATCAGCAATTTGTAGAAATGGTCAAATGGCTTGTTGACTGATCACTTCCTAGTGATATCTGGATGGCAATACCAGTAGCCATCTATCAACTTAGTGTGATTAGGAATTGTGAGTGTAAATATTTTGAAATTATTATGAAATGAACTGATTCAGCATTGGTTTCTGCACAGCAGTCAAGAGGTGTTAAGTCCCCTGCACTTTTTATTGTGTTTCTGCTAGGGAAGAACCAGTTTCTGCAGGCATTGCAACCAGTGTCATCAGAGAAGCTTGCACAGGAAGTAAGAGGGCCCAGTTCAATCTGGAGGTTATATGATTTGGCTCTGCGTCCCTATACAAATCTCATCTTGAGTTATAATTCTAAAATGTTGAGGGAGGGACCTGGTGAAAGGTGATTGGACCATGGGGGCAGCTTCCTGCATGTTGTTGTCATGATAGGGAGTTCTCATGGGATCTGATGGTTTTAAAGTGGCAGTTTTTCCTGTGCTCTCTCCCTCCCCTGCAACCTTGTGAAGAAGGTATCTGCCTCTCCTTCACATTCTGCCATAATTGTAAGTTTCCTAAGGCCTCCAGAGCCATGTGGAACTGTGAGTCAATTAAACTTCTTTTGTTTATAAATTACCCAGTCTCAGCTAGTATTTTTATAGCAGTGTGAAAATGAACTAATACAGAGAATTGGTACTGGGAGTGGGGCAGTGCTATAAAGATGACCTGAATATGTGGAATTGACATTGAAACTGGGTAACAGGTAGAGGTTGGAACAGTTTGGATGGCTGTTCCAGAAGACAGGAAGATTGGGAAAGTTTGGGACTTCCTAGAGAGTTGTTAAATGGCTTTCACCAAAATGCTGATAGTGATATGGACAATGAAGTTCAGACTGAGGAAGTCTCAGATGGGGATGGTAAACTTATTGGGAACTGGAACAAAGGTCACTTGTGCTATACTTTAGCAAAGAGATTGGTGCCATTTTTTCCCTGCCCTAGAGTTCTGAGGAACTTTGAACTTGAGAGAGATAATTTATCGCATGTAGTGGAAGAAATTTCTAAGCAGTAAAGCATTCAAGAGGTGACCTGGCTGATTCTGAAAGCATTTAGTCATTTGTGTTAACAAAGAGATGGTCTGAAATTGGAACTTACATTAAAAAGGGAAGCAGAGCACAAAGTTTGAAAAATTTGCAGCCTGACCATGTAGTAGAAAAGAAAAAAAAAACCATTTTCTGGGGACAAATTCAAGGTGGTTGCAGAAATTTGCATAAGTAATGAAAAGTCAAATGTTAATAGCCAAGGCAGTGGGGAAAATGTCTCCAGGGCATTTCAGAGATCTTCATGGCAGCCCCTCCCTTCATAGTCCTGGAGGCCTAGGGTGGAAAAATGGTTTTGTGGGGCAGGCCCAAGGCCCTGTTGCTCTGTGCAGTCTTGGTACATGGCACCCTATGTCCCAGCCATTCCAACTTCACTCATGGCTAAAAGGAGCCAATATACAGTTCAGGGTGTTGCTTCCGAGGGTGCAAGCTCCAGGTCTTTGTGTCTTTCATGTGGTGTTGGGTCTGTGGATGGGCAGAAGATGAATTGAACTTTAGGAGCCTCTGCCTAGATTTCAGATGATGTATGAAAATGGTTGGATGTCCAGGCAGAAGTCTGCTGCAGCGGGGGGAGTTCTCATGGAGAACCTCTGCTATGGCAATGCAAAGGGGATTGTGAAGTTGGAACCACAGGCAGAGTTCCCACTGGGGCACTGCCTAGTGGAGCTATGAGAAGAAGGCCAGCATCCTCCAGACTCCAGACTGGTAGATCCATCTACAGCTATCACCATGTGCCTGGAAAAGCCACAGGCACTGAATGCCAGCCAATGAAAGCAGCCCTGGGGGCTGAGCCCAGCAGAGCAACAGAGGTGGAGCTGCCCAAGGCTTTGGGAGCCCACCCCTTGTATCAGCATGCCTTGAATGTGAGATATGGAGTCAAAGGAGGTTATTCTGGAACTATGAAATTCAATGAATGCCCTGTTGGGGTTTGGACTTGCATGGGGCTTGTAGCCCCTTTGTTTTGGCCAATTTTTGCCATTTGGAATGGAAGCATTTACCTAATGCCTGTATCCCCATTGTATCTTGGAAGTATAATAACTAACTTGCTTTTATTTTACAGGCTCATATGTGTAAGGGATTTGCCTTGTCTCAGTTGAGACTTTCAACCTAGACTTTTGGGTTAGTGCTGGAATGAGCTAAGACCTTGGGGGCTTGTTGGGAAGGCAGGCTTGTGTTTCAAAATATGAAGACAGGAGATTTGGGAGGGGCCAGGGATGGAATGATATGGTTTGGTTCTGTGTCCCCACTCAAATCTCATTTCTAATTGTAATCCCCATAATCTCCATGGTTAGAGGGAAGGGACCTGGCAGTAGGTGATTAGATCATTTGGGCAGTTTTCTCCATGCTGTTCTCAGGTTAATGAGGGAGTTCTCACAAGAACTGATGTTTTAAATGTAGCAGTTTCCTCTGTGTGCTCTCTCTCTCCTGCCATCTTGTGAAGAAGGTGCCTGCTTCCCCTTCATCTTCCACCATGATTGTAAGTTTCCTGAGCCCTCCCCAGCCATGCAGAACTGTGAGTCAATCAAACCTTTTTTGTTTATAAATTACCCAGTCTCCAGTAATATCTTTATAGCAGTGTGAAAAACAAACTAACACAAGATGTAAGGGCCAGTGGCTGCCAATAGTGACTGAACTAAGAGGTAAGGCAAAGAAGACTTGATATGATGCACAAGCCACGTTCAGTTGTGATCCTACAGTGATTTTATAGAATAGAACAAATAGTTTTTCTTCTTCTGTAGCTTGATGTCAATTTACTGTGAGGCAGACTTTCTGCTAACTGTTGACACCAATACAAAAATGTAGCTAATAGTTATTAGCTAAGCTTTTGAATATTATGAAACAAAAAATTATTTATTGCCTAGGAGGTACAAATTAAATGGTTGAAATTTTCTCATGTATTTTAATAAATAGTGAGTATGCCATAAAATATATGATTTACAGTAGGCATTGGAAAGAACTTTAAAGCAGGAGAAAAAAAAAAAAAAACAGGCCGGGTGTGGTGGCTCATGCCTGTAATCCCAGCACTTTGGGAGGCAGGTGGATCATGAGGTCAGGAGATTGAGACCAGCCTGACCAACATGGCAAAACCCAGTCTGTACCAAAAATACAAAAAATAGCTGGGTGTGGTGGTGCATGTCACCAGGTTGGAGTGCAGTGGTGCAATCTCAGCTCACTGCAACCTCCGCCTCCTGGGTTCAAGCAATTCTCCTGCCTCAGCCTCCTGAGTAGCTGGGATTACAGGCACACACCACCATGCCCAGCTAATTTTTGTATTTTTAGTAGAGGCAGGGTTTCACCATGTTGGCCAGGATGATCTCGATCTCCTGACCTCATGATCTGCCTACCTTGGCCTCTCGAAGTTCTGGGATTACAGGTGTGTACCTCCACACCCAGCCCAAGTGGTATCTTTATTAAAAGTTTAATTTTATTGATTGTGCTTCCAAGATGGCCGAATAGGAACAGCTCTGTTCTGCAGCTCCCAGTGAGATTGACACAGAAGACAGGTGAGTTCTGCATTTCCAACTGGGGTACCTGGTTCATCTCACTGGGACTGGTTTGACAGTGGATGCAGCCCATGGAGGGTGAGCTGAAGCAGGATGGGGCATCGCCTCAACTGGGAAGCACAAGGGGTCAGGGAATTTCTCTTTCCTAGCCAAGGGAAGCTGTGACAGACTGTACCTGGAGAAATGGTACACTCCTGACCAAACACTGTGCTTTTCCCACAGTCTTAGCAACTGGCAGACCAGGAGATACCCTCCCGTGCCTGGCTCGGCAGGTCCCATGCTCATGGAAACTTGCTCACTGCTAGTGCAGCAGTCTGAGATTGACCTGCCATGCTGCAGCTTGGTGTGGGGGGTGGGGTTCTGCCATTGCTGAGGCTTGAGTAGCTCACAGTGTAAACAAAGGCTGGGAAGCATGAACTGGGCAGAGCCCACTGCAGCTCAGCAAGGCCTACTGCCTCTATAGATTCCACCTCTGGGGGCAGGGCATAGTAGAGCAAAAGGCAGCAGACAGCTTCTGCAGACATAAACGTTCCTGTTCTAGCGAATATGCTTTTATTTAATGAAAAATAAACTAAATTCACCTATATAGGAATAAAGCTATACATTGAACTAATTAAGGCTGTAAGGACTATATTCTGAAGACTTCCTAGAATGTCATTGAGTATCATAAAATACTAAATGTTAAAGTACAAAACCCCACTCTAATGCCTTCATTATACAGAGAAGAAAAACTCAGGTTCAGAGAAAAGTGACTTTCCCAAGGGTATTTACACAAAGTCTTTGGGATGAATATTGAGGGGTGGGTAAGCCTGTTGATAGGAGTCAGGAAACAAATTTATGGACGTGCAGATTAACTTTGCATTTTATGAGGCCCATAAAATGGGGAGGGACTAAAAAAAGTATATCCTTAATGCTTAAAAGTTACAAAACCTCAGTGTTGTTGTTGTTTTCTAATTTGGTACAAATGTTTTTCTCACTCTGCAAACAGGGAAGACATGCTACAGAAAATTATAAAATTCTGAATGTTCAGGCAAGCAAAAATAAAAGAAATCTACCACCATAGATTCTAGACTGTGATTGGCATCCCAGTTGCAATTATTATGAATTGTGTATATCGTACATATATGAACATATATATGAAGTATATATATGAATATATTTTTCTATTGAATAGTACTTCAGTTATTTTATTATAATCAATGTTTTAAGAACACTTTTGTAAGTAACTCTTTATGCTAGTTCTTAATTATCCCAGAAAAAATTTATGAAAGTAAAATTTCCCTAACAAAGCAAGTAAATTATTTAAGGGTTCTGTTTTTATTTTTAAGTAAAATTGAAAGTAGATTAAATATCTTAATAGCTGTCTTTAAGAAAAAAAAAAGAAAAAGAAAAGCCAGTCCATTCTATTTCTTTTTATTCCGAAAGCAACCAGTCATCTCTTTAGCAGTGATGGTCTTGTAACATTTATGTGTTGCTCAAGGGTAATCAACAGAAATGTTAGTTTTGAAATTAATTAATATCCCATTGAGAATATATTTTATAGCAGTTCTGAAGGATTTTAAAGCAGCTAATGACCTTTTTCATTTGTCAAAATTTATTTATGATTTTGAAATGTGAAAACATTTAGTAGTACATTCAACCGATAAAACAGTAAAACTGGTATTTAATAGACATCAAATAAGACACTGAAATCTTACAAACATGGATTCTTCAGGTTGTTATTCACTTATTCAACTACTTCTTATAGTTGTTTTAGTTGATATTTTGAATACATGTATTTAAAACAATTACTGAACATTGAACATTTTTGAAAATTCACTGCCTAGCCCATCGCTTTATGCATAATAGACTTTTAATGCTTATTTGAATAAATGAATGAGTAAATTGGTGCTGTCCTAATTTTAAATTCAAAAATGATATACTTTAATTAAATACTATAGAATTCTTATTCAGAATTCATGAATTAGGAGACTAGGTTAAAATATTATAAATTTAAAACTATAAATATTATTCTGGTCATATATAATAAAAGAGGCATTTGACCTGTTGTGTATCTGAATTTGCTGCAATTTAGCAGTAAATGGGTATATATGTTTGTGCATATGTGTGTGTGTGTGTGTGCGTGTGTATGTTTGGCACTAATTGTATGTATGTCACTAAGTGTGATAGTAATTATATAATATGCTTGTGCATGTGTACTCTTAAGTAGGCTGAATTAACAAAGTGCATTCGTTAATACTGCTTACAAACAACCATATTTAACGATACCCTTAAGAATTAAAAGCCCTAATCCTGTCATTAATTAAGGCAGTGTATGTGAATTTGATTAAAAAACTCAATGTAGTGATTAAATTATCTACTTGTGTATGGATTCATCTACCACTTTTGGACAGAAAATAACCAAAGGAGAAGCATAGGATCATGCTTACTCAAAAAAAAAACTATTGCTAATAGTTCTATATTTTCTTTCTGAGTGCATTTCAGATAGTCAACTAGTCAGCAGAGTCTTTCCCTTGGGAATCCATTACATTTAAAAATCATTTCTCTAAGGACCATGGCACTGTATAAAACACATAGTTTCTGGCATAAAAGCCATACATAGAAAGTGGCCTAACCTATGAGAACATTCTAATATCAATTCTTACTGCTTAGAAAAGAGGCACAATTCCTTCAAGGAGAATAAAAGACCGTTTGACGGGCATGCAAATTTATCTCTTGTATTCGAATCCATTTCCAGGTCCAACACATTATGTTCAGAAATTGTTTTCAGTGCTACGCCAATTAGCATTATTCAATTAACATGTAGCTTTTGGGAATCTGAGACCAGAAACAGCTAAAAATGCCAGCAAGCTTTGCACAGAGAGTGTTCTTGTTTCAGAAACATGGATAACAGCCCCCAAACAGCCAGCTTATACCTGTTTTCTCTAGATGGCAAAAGCAGGCACATAAGTTGTGTAATATAAATGCTCTAAATGAAGATAAATGTTTTATGATTTCTGTTTTGCCCACAAACCCATGCTGGATTTACACAAGTATGAGCATACTCTGGGCAAAGTATAGTATTTGCAGTGCTGGACATGCTCTGTAATGTATCAAGGTAGGATTCGAATATATAAAAGTAATATAGTCAGAAGCCCAAGCTTTAGAGTCACACTTGGGTTCATATTAGTTTCTGCTACTTGGTAATTACATGACTTTGGAAAGAAATCTTAATTTTTTTACCTGTAAAATGAAGATAGTGATGATTCCTTTGTAGTGCTGTTGTAATAATTGGACAGCACACCTATGTCTCTTCAACATATAATTTTTGAACTAACTTTATTAGTTTGAATGAATAATGCTATATAGATATTTTTATCTTCAGAAGTCTTTTTCTGGGACTTTGAAATTGTGTTCTCGAGAGATAATATTTCTTTCATGTTTTATAATAATTAAATAAGTAAAATATATACTTTTTAATAATAGAAAAAGATACAATCTGTTCTTTTTCCACACAGGTTAAAGTAACTGATGTTAACAGTTTGATTACTGTTAACATTGCTTTTCATACATTTTCTATTTCTAAAAAGAAGGCTGGCTGGGCACGGTTGCTCAGGCCTGTAATCCTAGAACTTTGGGAGGCCAAGGCAGATGGACCTGAGGTCAGGAGTTCGAGACCAGCCTGGCCAACATGGTGAAACCCCAAATCTACTAAAAATACAAAAATTAGCCAGGCCTGGTGGTGGGATCCTATAATCCCAGCTACTTGGTAGGCTGAGGGAGGAGAATCCCTTGAATCCGGGGTGGTGGAGGTCGGAGATGGCAGTGAGCTGAGATCATACCACTTCACTCCAGCCTGGGCAAAATTGTGAAATGCTGTCTCAAAAAAAAAAAAAAAAAAAAAAAGAAAAGAATGCTTATGTATATATTATAGAATGATTTTTGTTCTTCTTTTAAAATAGGATTTTTCTCTAATTTCATTTTTCACTCAACAGGATACTTTAATATTTTTCATATTTATATACATAAAATCTTTTTAATATCTGCATTATATCCTACAGTATGAAATTTATTCAAATATTCCTCAGTTGGAGAATATAAAGTTTTCCTGTTATTTCAGCACTATGGCTGTAAATCATAATCAGATCATATTAAATACTTTTTCATTTTGTCAAAACAAAACCTAATTCACTAAAGCCTGGGGGGAAAACTCTTTAATGTGCTCATGCTGATGGCCATGATATTAACACCACCATCATTTTCAGAATGTCCATATGCGTTAATGATGTTGCTGAATTGCAATGAGTTTTTGGTAGATGAATCCGCATACAAGTAGATAGCTTAATGAACACACAGAGCTTATTAATCAAATTCACATATACTGCTTTAATCAATTAGTGACAGGATTAGGGCTTTTAATTCTTAAGGATATTGTTAAATATGATTGTAATGAGTATTAATGAATGCTCTTTGTTAATTTGGCCTACTTAAAGGTACACATGAACAAGAACATTATAATTGCTATCACATTCAGTACATACCTACAATCAATGCAAAGGTAGGCAAGCCAGTTGTTTCATATTTGTATGTATTATGCATGCTGTAATGTTTATTTCACATATAACATTTATGTATTATGTATGCCTTAATATTTTTATATATCTTGTTTTACCCTGTAGTTTATAATGTATTTCAGAAAAAAATTTTAGGATTTAACAAAATATATGGTCATCTGTGACATACCTCCATTTGACAGTTCATGAATACGTAGCCGAGAATGTGATGAGAGGTGTCCGGTTCATGTGGACAACCTAACTTGAGGACACCAAATTACTCATCTTGTGTAACTTTACAGACCAATAAAAAACCTTAGGAATTTTAAAACAACTTTACTGAGGTATAATTAACACACAATAAATTGAACATATTTAAGGTAGACAGTTTGAGAAAATTTTCATGTATATATATGGAAACATCACTGTTAAAGATAATAGACACATGCCATAAGCATTGTCTCCTAACATTTCTTTGTGCACCTTTATAATCCTTTCTCCTTCCAGACCCGCTTTCCTCAGGTAACCATGGATCTATTTCCTTTAGCGATAGCTTTGCATTTTCTATAATTTTATAAACAATGGAATAATACAGTATGTAATTTCTTCTAGGTTCTTTTACTCTGCATAGTTATTTTGAATTTCATGCAGTTTTGCAACTACTAGGAGTTAATTCCTTTATTTTGCTAAGTAGTATTCCATTGTATGCCTGTATCACAGTTTATTTTCATCTGGTTATGGAAAATGGGTTGTATCTGGTTTTTGGCTGCTACAAACAAAAGCTGCTGTGATCATTTGTGTACTTTTCTTTGTATGAATATGCTTTCAGTGCTGTTGGGTTGGATTGGAATGTCGAGATTATATGTCGGGTGTATATTTTGCTTTTCCAGAAACCATCAAACTACTTCTACTCTGTTGACACATTTTACATTCCTATCAGTAGTATGTGAGAGTTCCAACTGCTCCAAACCCTTACCAACACTTGATATAGTCAGTCTTTTTAATTTCAGCGAATCTAATATGTCTGCAGTGGTATCTCAGTGTAGTTTTAATTGTCATTTCTGTAATGACAAAAGATTTTAAGTATCTTTACATATAATATTTACCATCCATGTGTTTTTGGTGGAATTCTGTTGAGATCTTTGACCAATTTTGTAATGAAGTTGTTTGTTTTCTTGTTGAATTTTGAGAGTTCTTTATATACTCTGAATAAAAGTTTTTATGAGATACATAATTCGCAAATATTTTGTTCTAGACTGTGCTGGGATGTTTCCCTCTTTTAACAGTGTCTTTTGAATCCCTGGGGGATTGGTTCCACATTCCTTGCAGATACCAAAATCTGTGGATGGTCAAGTCCATTACGTAAAATGGTGTAGTATTTGCACATAACCTACATACACTCTCTCATATACTTGATTACTCATAATACCTTATGCAATATAAATGCTATGTAAGTAGTTGTATTGTTTAGGAAATAATGACAAGAAAAAAGTCTGTATGTTGAGTACAGACACATTATTTAATTTTTTTCTGTATATTATTGATCTGTGATATGGAACCCACTGATACTAAGGGCCAACTATGTGTATATGCATGAGGTCAGTATTGATCTGATCACTGGAGGTCACATACTCATCTTGTTCAGGCTCTCCCTAGGTTATCTATTTTCTGGTTCTCAACTCCAGATGCCTATGCTGTTCTCCAGATATCCCTCAGTTTCACAACAGAGAAAGCTTCACACCACTTTTCTTAGTCCCTCCACCATACTCTGCCAAAGCCTGAGGCTTTATGTATACCCATCAGCACCATCAACTCTTTGGCTCAGGAAGTATGAAAAGCCTAGAGTTGAAATAGACACAAGAGAGCTATTACCAGGTTTCCATGCTTGCTGAATGGTCCCAATGTTATTGTAGACATAATCACTGTTTATATGCAGTGAGTTTACTCTGGGAGTTAGGATGAAGGTAGAGATTTTATCAGTTGAATGCAGTAATTTAAAAAGTAATAAAAAAGAGAAAATGCTTACATGTATATGTAAAACTGCATATATATACACATATACATGTAACTGTGTGTGTATGTATATGTATATGCACATATATATAGTTTGCCCATATATATAATATGATATATATATTCTGAATATATACTTCTGTTTATCTTGAGAATTCTGACTAATATAATACATAAGTGTTTATTTTTATGTGAACAAAATAATATTTTAATTTCAACTTTAAATTGTTCATTTCTACTATAAAAACACGAATTTTTCTATATTAATCTTGGTATCTATATTAACTTATTAAGTCGGGTAGCACATTTTATAGGTTAAATAGGATTATTATACCTAATCATGTTGTCTACAGATAAAAAGTTACTGTTTTTCTAATCTGGATGCCTTTAATTTTTTTTCTCTTGCTTTACTTTAGTGACTAGAGCCTCCAGCATAATGCTGGAAAGAAATAGCAAGAACAGACATCTTTATCTGATTGCTGGTATTGGGGAAAGCTTCTTGAGAATACAGACTTTGTCCTGTTTGTTCTTTAAATGCCTGGCACTTAGTAGGTGCTCAAAATATTTGATACATGTTTGAGCACACCATAAATGCTATTTAGTGTTTTACATGGATTAACTCATTTAATCTTCACAACAATACCATGATATGTAAACTAGCATTATTGCCATTTAACAGATCAGAGAAATGAGGAATGGGTATTTTAAGACTAGTTGAACCATGGTATAATACTTTGACATTAGATAGAGTTGGAAACATATGCAAAGGTATTGTCTCCTCTATTACTTTTTAATAGAGGAGATTACTATTACTTTTTATTTTACTATTACCTTTTAAGTTATTACATTCAATTACTATTATTTTTTAAATTATTACATTCAACTGATTAAATCTCAACCTTCATCCTAACTCCCAGAGTAAACTCACTGCACATAAACAGTGATTATGTCTATGATAAAATTGGGACCATTCAGCAAGCGTGGTAACCTGATAATAGCTCCCTTGTGTCTATTTCACCTCTGGGCTTCTCATACTTCCTGAGCCAGAGAGTTGATGGGGTTGATGGGTATACATAAAGCCTCAGGCTTTGGCAGACTATGGTGGAGGGACTAAGAAAATTGGTGTGAAGTTTTCTCTGTCATGGGATTGAGGGATATCTGGAGAATCACATATGCATCTAGAGGTGAGGACCAGAAGTTAGATAACTTAGGGAGAGCTTGAACAAGATGAATATGTGACATCCAGTGATCAGATCAATACTGACCTCATGTAAGTGGTTAAGATCCCCATTAATCCCCAAAGTATCCAAGGACTTGAATGGATGAGTGGAGCTTGATGAGTTTTGGGGATCAGAGTGCACAGAAACTTTCTGTGTCTCAACAGGAAACTAACAGTGTGCCAACCTTGACATTTAGGGATATTGACCACTTTGCTTCTGCCACCTACAGGACTTTAGGTATCCCCGCACAGACCATTGTTCCAGTGAGCCAACCAAGTGACATCAAAGAGTGCCCAAGAATTAGAGAGAAAATTGCAAAGACTTAGAACACTATATACAATTCTGTTTCAACAAAATTGAAAATCAGAAGAAGGCAGAATATTTTTCAGGAAAATAAATATAAATAATCAAAATTTATACAAGAAGTAGGAAACATAAATAAATTACCACAATTAAATAGGAAGGATGATATTTACCATTGATCAATAATTAGGACTTGATAGATTCCCCACTGAGTTTTATCTTTGGTTTCACTTTGATTTGAAGAACAGTAATTCTAATGGCTTTTGAACTAATCCAGTAACATATGAAAAGATGGATTATTTTCCAGTCCATTTTTTTTGTGAACCCAGTATTGCTTTAATAACTATAAAAGGAGTTGTGAAACTATAGACAAAATATTAACAAATGGCTCAGGAATGTGTCAAAAAATAATACACTATTATAAAGCAGGATTTTTTTTAAGGAATGGAAGTTTAATATCTGGAAATATATAATTTAATACATTATATTAACAAACTAAATCATCTCAATAAATAGTAAAATGTATTTGACAAAATTCAGCAGCTCTAGATGCAAGTTCCAGTATAAAGAAAATGTCCAAAACAGCACTAATAAGATATGATATAGAGGCTTTAAAAATTAATTCCATATATATAGGCAATTATATCACAGTAGTCATGGAGTACATTTCATAGTGGATCTCAGGTGTTTTAATAAAATTAATCACTTTTTACATTTCTTAAATATTTGAAATTCTGAAAAGGTAAAATTCATAAGGTATATAAATATGACATTAAGTTAATAGTCTTGTTAAAAATGAAGCTATTTGAATTGAATTGATAACTGATATATCTATTGTAAACATTATTCATGCCTTAAAAGTTCTTAAACATTCAATAAGTCTGGAAAAACTAGAATGAAATGCTATCTTTGCTGATGAATTACATTTCTATAAAATGCCTGAAACAGAAAAATAAACTATGTATACATTTATAAAGACTTATACAATTTATCAGTAAATTGGATAATATAATGGAGATAAGAAAAGTAAATTAATACCTTTTTCTACTATGGCAATACTTAAAATATAGCTAAACTTATTGTGGAAATAATTAACTATAGTAAATATATACTGAAAAGTACTTAGTAATGAGTTCAGGAAAAAGGCACACGCAATTTACATGAGTTTTTTTTTGAAACTCGTAAAACAAGATCTTATTAAATGGAAAAGAAAATAATATTCTTAGCTGGAAAGACTTCTTATAAAAAGGTCAATTGTCCCCAAATTAACATAAATTTAATACAATTCTATTTAGAATACCGCATAAATTTTTAATTGTATAAGATGGTCTTAAAATTTATGAGTAACCATAAATGCTTGCAAATACCTGAAGAACAATGACAGAATATATTATAAAGTGCCTGCAACCAATTTAATATGGTTGTACTATGTTGAGGAAGCAAATAAATCAGTGGACACAAATATATCCCAGAATATTTGAGAAAGGAAATACATGATACAAATATGATAACCAACCATATGATGGGTGTATGAAAGGAAAATATCCCCCAAAATCACTAAGGAAAACTCAAGCTGGAAACTGCTTAGGGCAAACCTGCCTCCCATTCTGTTAAGTCACCCCTCTGCTCACTGAGATAGATGCATATCTGATTTGCCTCCTTTGGAAAGGCAAATCAGAAACTTACAGGAATGTAACTGTTTGTGTATCACCTATCTGTGACCTGGAAGTTCCCTCCACGCTTTGCTTAGAGTCTTCCTTTCTTTGCTTCAAGTTGTCCCGCCTTTCCAGACCAAACCTATGTAGTTCTTACATATGTTGATTGATGTCTTGTGTCTTCCTAAAATGTATAAAACCAAGCTGTATGCCCTGACCACTTTGGGCACATGTCGTCAGGACCTCCTGAGGCTGTATCATGGGCACATCCTCAGCCTTGGCAAAATAAACTTTGTAAATTAGCTGAGACCTTTCTCAAATTTTTGGGGTTCACAGGTGATAGTTTAATTTAGTATGGGAATAGGATAGTGGTAACACCCCTGAAATAGCATTGAAAGAAAATGATAGTGGATCCTCCATCTCCTACTATGTTTAAAATTAAATGGTATAAGCATTAAAACTTTAAATTTAAAAGGACAATAAAAGCCTTGGAAAAATACGTAGGAGACTATGTCTACAATCACAAGGCAGTGGGGATCTTCTTAATTAAGAACACATAAAACTAAAGAACAATAAGAGAAAAGGTAAAAATTATTTAAAATAGAAAAAAGTTACAGTAAGAGCATACCAATAATTATAAACAAATGATGGAACTGAATAAATGCTAAAATTTAAAAAAATCCTGCTTCTTTAAAGCTTAAAAATGGAATGGTTGTGGGAAAACGATACTCTCATATTTTGTTGCAAAAAAAAAAAAAAAAAAAAAAAACGAAGAAAGGTTATTAGTGGGGACAGTGGCTGAAAAATTTTTGAGCTGTTTAATGCAATATTATGCACCATTAAAAGAAGGAACTAAAGCTCTACCACCTGAATAGCAGGGACCTCTCAGTTTATTGTTTAATTAAAAAAATGTAGAAATGTGTCATATGTGACCTTATTTTAGTACAATGACCACCACTACCCCTCCTTTCATTTTGCAGGCATACATCTGTAATCATATTTGGGAAATCTCAGTCATTCTTTTTAGAAACATTTATTCAGAGTCTACTATACACCACACACTGCTCTAGGGGCTAGGCCAAAGGTTTACTGGACAGAAAAATCTCTGCCCTCTTGGAGCTAATAATTCATGCAGGCAGAAACTAACAACAAAAAATAATAAACATAGACGATTCAAAGAATAAGGCAGAGATTAGGTGATAATGGTCTTTGTAGAAAAACAGTTTCGATTTTATTCTTAATACAGTGTAAAGTCACTGTAGGGTTTTGTTCAGGGGAGTGGCATAGATTGATTTATTGTTGTAAAAGGTTATTCTGGCTGCTCTTTTTGTTGGAAAATGAACTGTGGAAGAGGGAAGAATATAGGCAGTAATCTATTTTGGAGCCTACTGCAGTTTCCTGGGAAGAGATGACAGTGGTTTGGACTAGGGTGGTAGCAGTAGGGATGGACAGAAATGGACACATTGAAGTTATGTTTTACAGGTAGAATAAAACAGGGCTTGCTGGAGATAGCATGGAGAGAGTGTAAGCAAGGAGTCTGGAATGACGTGTGGTATTTTCAACCGTGTTACAGAGAAGATGGTGGCATTTTTTTGCCCCAGTGGTCAAAATTGGTAGAGGAGTAGGTTTTATAAATTGCAACATAGAGTTGACTTTTGGGAGTACTAAGTTTAATATATTTACTAGATATCTATCCAAGTGGAAAGATCAAATAAGCAGTTGAATGAATGGATATGGAATATAGTGGAGCAGACTGAGTTGGACAAATAAACTTTAGAGACATCAGCAGCACATAATTGCTATTTATAGACGTAGCACTAGATGAGAGAACCCAGGAGGAGAATGTAATAAAGACAAAGACCCAAGCCTGAGTTCCCGCTACTGATATCACCTCTAAGTTTGTTAAAACTTTAAACTTTTTAGTGTTGAATATGTTGATTCACTGTACAAAAGAAGAGTTCCGTTAAAGTGCGTTAAAGTAGACATTAATTATTCATATATTCCATGTAGATGATTACTTGCTTCTGAATAATTAAGGACACACTTCAGGGTATGTGGTTCCCTTTAACGCTAAAACTAATCCTGTAATTCTATAGTATCATTTTTGGTGCTTTTCCATAACCAATGTATATTAATTACCTCATGATAATAAAAGACTTGCATACATGTAATAATTGATACTTCCTAGAACTGTGAAGTTTCAGAGATTGCAATATTTCAGATCATGTGACAATTATCGGAGATTTTTGGGTTTGAAAAATTTTTAGAATTTTAGAGACCATAAAATTGTAATGAAAAAGATTCTCAAAAGTAGAAGAGGCATGGTTTTGAATGGGGAATAGCTCAGAATGAGAAATAAGATGTGCTTCTTGTTGTTGCTGTTGTTTGTCAGAATAGCTGGACTAATTTTCTTTAGCAGGCATGAAAAATAAATGGACTCCTTTCCCTCTGGGTCAACAGCTCTTCACCTAACAGTTCTGCCAGAGTTAAAGTTGTAGTTGTGTGACCCACCCAGAAATTCTTCTCATGGAATCCAGAGAGAGCTTTTATTTAGAACCTTGGAGATTTCCAAGCATACCACCATGATTGGAAAAGCCTTGACTTCTGGATCTTGGGGGAAAAGCAAGAAGAAGAGATAGATTTTTAATATCAAGCAGTACTTTAAGTGTGATTTAAAATTTTCATCTGAACAAGCTACATGAGAAAACATTTTTCAGTACCTGAATTTTCAAAGTGTGGCTATCTTTTTCCTAAAAGTTCTGCTTTTCTTTTAAATATATTTATTAAGAAGTATTAACTTGAATGGCAGCTAATATAATTTGGCTGTGTCCCCACCCAAATCTCATAATCTCATTTTGAATTGTAGCTCCCACAATTCCCTCATGCTGGGGGAGGGACCCAGTGGGAGATAATTAAATCATGGAGGTGGTTTCCACCATACTGTTCTCATGGTAGTGAATAAACCTCAGAAGATCTGATGGTTTTATAAGGGGAAAATCCTTTTGCTTGGCTCTCATTCTCTTCTCTTGTCCGCTGCCATGTGAGATGTGCTTTTCACCTTTCCGCCATGATTGTGAGGCCTCCCCAGTCACGTGGAACTGTGAGTCCATTAAACCTCTCTTTTGTAAATTGTCAGTCTCAGGTATGTCTTTATGAGCAGTGTGAAATCGGGCTAATACAGTAGATAACCACATGTTAATTTATTCTTTACTAATTCAAAAATTTATACTGGTGGTAATTTCAATGTATATAAATGTAGAAAACTCTTTCTTCATGAAGGTTACTTAAGATAATGCTCCATTTTAAAAAATATATTTTTTTAGGCATCTTAACCCCCTAAAATGGCACACATTTATATACTGATAATTAATAGAATCGTTTGCAAATTAATATTATTTCTTAACCAAGGAAGAAATAGATTTCTATTAGGCAGTCCTCCCTATCTTAGTTTGTAGTAGGTACTACAAATAATAAAATTATAATTATTGTTACAAATTTTACATATGGAAATTTAAAAATCAGAACCTTTAAAAACTCTACTTGATAAAAATTAAAATCTCATAAAATTACAAGAATTGCTCCTGACAAATATTTTTAGAAAGTTGGCACAAAAACCTAGCAAGAAGCTTATATATTAATATAAGATTTTGACAGGTCTTGTACATTTCACACTACTCCTATGCTTAGTGGTGAAGAATAAAAAAAACTGAGTGCTTCATTTGTTAGAAAATGCCTTAGAATGCAATCATATTTAGGCCAAATGTAATAATTCAAATGCAATTTTAATGAAAAGGGAACTGTAGCCCAATTTCTTTTCCCCGGATATTAGCACAATTAACTTTGCTTAATTTCAGTTCAACATAGTTTGTACATTTTGCCTATGATTTTTCAGAATTTTGAAATACAACTTAAGGCATTTTTTGATAGGATCTCCTATAATTTGATGGAAAAAAAGTACCTGCTCTATGACTGCCAAAGAATAAAAAATAAATAAAAGGAAGTTTGATATTTTTGGCAAAAAAAAAAAAAAAAAACCCTAAAGTCTCAAGAACAGTAGGGAGAAAGTCATGAATCGTGGATGTTTAATCTAGGGTTTAGTAATTTTGAAATCTTAGAATTCAGAACCAATACTTCTAAACTCATTTCTGTGATATAAAGTGTAAATTGTTCTCCCTCGCCCATACAGACATTGCTAATCAATCATGCTCCGTGCAGCACTTCCGGAAGTGCTCACAATCCTTTTGAACACAGTCTTCTGGGAAGCTGCTCTGATATTAGACCTGACAGAAGATGAAATCTATTTTTCATCCTCTTCTTAAGGCATAGGCATGGGAAGAATAAAAAAACCAAAATGTATGAAAGTTTATAAAAAGGGAATTTTAAATAAGAAAATCATATCAGTGAAAAGGATTATGAAAAAAGATTTAATGGGGAATTATAGGCTAGATACAGTATAATTAATAACTTTGGTAGTTGTCATTGAGAAGCTGTGAAATACTTTGTCTACATCTATTCTAGATTTTTAGGGGTGGAAGACATTTTAGACATTATCTAGTCTAGCGGTCATCAATTCAAAAGAGGAAATAATTAGCATAGAGATATTAAATGATTTATACAGTGTCATAAAACTAGCTAACAGTAAATTTGATTTCAGCACTAAATACAGTCATGCCTCGCTTAGTGACAGGGATGTATTCTGAGAAATGCATCATTAAGTTTTCCTTGTTGTGGGAACATCACAGAGTGAATGTACACAAACCTGGATAGCATGACCTACTACACACCTAGGCTGTGTGGTATAGCCTGTTGGTCCTAGGCTACAAACCCATATAGTATGCTACTGGCAACTGTAACACAATTGTAAGTATTTGTCTAAACACACCTAAACATAGAAGAGGTCCAGTAAAAATACTTATGAGACCACTGGTGTATATGGGATTCATTGTTGACTGAAATGTTATGTGGCACATGACTGTATACAGAGTTTCTTGCAGTGTGTTTCAACTCTGTGACTTCCTGCAGTCTGGTCTATATGGCCCTCTTCACTCCTTCCCCTCCCTTCCCCTTGCACACACAACCTAGAAGAACTCAAGAACAAAATAGACATCAAGACAGACCCACAGTAGAGGTGTTCTCCAAATGTTACTAATTCACACATAACTGCATGATTTTTGTGATATCTGTACTCTACACTTCTGACTACAAGATACATCATACCAAGCCTGTGACCTAAATGTAATTTTACAGTTGCATTTTGTTTGTGTTTTGTTTTAGAAACGTTTTCAGAAATGTAAAAAAAATTAAAAGATTGGGTAGCTCTGGACCTGCATTTTCAAAGGCAGCAGTCAAATGGGATTGGCTGAAATCTCTGGGGTCTCCACTTCATCAAAGTCCTTGCCATTCCCCCTTGTCTCTGATCCCAGTATTAAACAACATTTGCCATTCATCATCAAACTTCTATAGCACCTGAGTTTTATCTTCATTGGAGCTCTGTCAAAAGATGGATGACAAAAATATAGGGCAAAATGGCAGTGTGATTTTTCTCCAAATGGACTCACTTTACTTCTTGAATTTCACTGTGTAAACTCTGTAAACATTGGGGTTTACAACCTTTGACCAGACTGTATTATACCCATGTGGCAGCAGAACACATTAGAAACTAGATTTAAAAGCACAAGAACACACAACCTTTTAAAAATTACCAATATTAAAGAAAATAAGGTGCAACAAAATTGGTTAGCCACTTCCTTTATTCCTATTATTGTTCCACCTACATAATTTTCTGCACATCATTTGGTCTTAAGAAATGACTAAAAATACATCTCTTTTTGAAGTTTGGTATTTATTATAAATCTCACGACCTTCATAACACCTCTAAATGTCAAATGATTTAGAAACACACAACAAAGTAGTTTCTCAGCAGCAGATGAATTCTACAGCACAAAAATTAGAACTACAATTAAACCTGTAACTATTGTCAGGCTGATTTTTCAGCAATAGAGAAGACCCATGGCTAAATTATTTTGCTCTTCCATAGAGTGACCTGTCACGCTGCACTGTGGATATCAGACATTTCCTCTTTCTTCAGCTCGTTTCCATTCACAAAGAACAGTTACGTATGCATTCTAGACAACCTTGGCAAGTGATGGATTGATATACCAGCTACGGTTTAATAAAATCATGAAGAATAATTCTGGTCTTCTCATTACTTGACTTTTACATAACTTTGACATTGATTTAAATGGCATCTTATTTTCAAGGAAATATTCTTATTCATCTTTTAATATTTTAAGGTCCACAGATTATACTTGTACTGCTAAATACAAAGAAAGCAAAGTATGAAGAGAGACTCTTCTGACTCCTTTGTAATAAATGACAGTGTAGCTTATTTCTCTATTGAATCCTCTAGTCTTCCCAGTGACACATTTGACCTTTGGGGTACATTTTTCTCTGTCAAAGACTTCTGATTTGAATCTTATTAAAAACATAACACTCAGTGCTATATAATTCCATCAGGAAAGAGAATCCCAGAAGAACTGTTTTTAAAGTTAAGCAGTGAAATATGAATATATCTGCCCAAATCCCTCATTTGGAGCAAAGATGAAAAAATAGCACACGCGCTCCCATTTTCGTCTTGCTGCTGCTTTTTTCTACTCAGTAATTAGGGAAAGAAGAGAAATAATCACACATTTTGTAGTATCTCTCTGGATTCTATTGTCAGATGTTCTTGGAAAGTTACAGACAATTTTTAACAGAAGGTGCAGTCCAAAAGTCCTTCTTCAGTCTCTGTCTCTCTGTAAAGGATAAAATGCAATCATAGAACTCTGTAATGGCAGACTATTGGATGTGGGGTTTTATCTCTGTTATTACAACTGCCACCTTTTCTTTATGCTGTTTTCTTCTTTCCTCTTATTTTTTGTTCTTTGATCCTCAGTCCTTTATTATTTTCAACTTACCTAGTTCATCTGGTCCTTCTAGCCTTATCACTTAATCATAAATTTGAATCTCAGCTATGTGACCTGTGGCAAACTATTTACTTTGTGTGAATCTCTGATTTCTCATTTGAAAATGAAAATAATCATAGTTCTTTATTCATGCTATTTTTGAAAAATAATTAATGCAAGCATTCTGTACAATGTCTAGAAGGTAATAATTACTCAATTCAAATATATTATGTAAGTATAGAATAATTGGTATTTTATGGATTTCCTGGCATTAAGAGTTGGGGATTGCTAAGTGCTGAGGAAAGTCTGTGACTTTTGTGAAAGAATTATACCTGAAAGAAAAGTGTACTTTTGTTTCATTTCTGAAAAGGATTTTGTTCAGTTGATGTAGAGCTGTCAACTTTCTTCTCAGTCAAATCCACCTTTAATCAGAAATCTGGTCAGCATGGAACTTTCCCATAAAATGAGGTGACACAGGCCATGAAATAAATGCTCTAAGAGTATGTAATACTTCTCTGTCTTCCTTAATTTTGAATCTCTTGTACATTAGAAGCCTTTTTTTTTTCTTTTCAGAAAATGACATGAGTTGTGTAGGAAATTTGAAAGAGATTAAAATTAGAATAGATGTGAAATTGGAGACCAATGACTAAACTGTCAGATCGATGATAAAGGATAAACTCTACTTAAGATTTTATTTATTTTGTTTCTTAGTTGGCCTTAATATTTTTGAGTCAACATTTAAAAATTGATATGTTGTACATAAATAGTCGGATTTTTGGCTAGTCTTAAAAATCGTATTTGATTTACCTTCTGAGATGGATATTATTAATTTCCAGCTTCAAACAAAAAGACTGACACTGTCATAGTGGCTCAATTAATATTTGTTAAACACATTAGAGAATGACTATGCTATATAAAAAATACAGAGCACTTGTGATTAAGTAAATAATGCTGATGAGCCTTTTGGATGCCAACAGAGAGAACACAGGAAAGTGAGTGAAATATTTTTTCTTTCCATCTTAAAGTAGCTTTGCAAAATGACTTCCATATACCAGTCATTAAGAAATGCCTGTTACAAGGTTGAAAACTAACTATTGAATACTACACTCACTACCTGGGCGATGAGATCAATTGTACTCCAAATCTCACTATTATGTGATACACCCATGTAACAAACAGGCACATCACGTATCCCCCGAATCTAAAATAAAAGTTGAAATTATAGATATAAAAGAAATGGCTATTAGAAATCCTGGATGACTTTTTCCCCAAAAAACTTTATTTGGGAACATTATAAGCTCCTTCAGTCTATAATCTTGACCTCCCCTCAATCTTCTGAAATTGCCTTCTTGAAATTTCAAGTGGCATCTTGATGCTCAAATCCAATCATAATTTCTCAACTCTTAAGTTGTTTCTCTTTTTTAACATTTGATATATTTTACTCTACTATTCTTCGGATTTTCCCCCATTGGAATTTTGCTAATATTCTGATATTGAAAATCTGGTTAGTACCAAGCACTGTTTTACTCTCTCCATGATAACCTCATGAAGGAAGTACTTATCATCTCCATTATTAAAGACAGGGAGCTGTGTACAAGCTCATTCAGCTGGCACATAGACGCAATACAATGACCAGGATCTTCTCTGGCTTCATTACTGTGTGGTTTAGTCAGCATGACCAACTGACTGAACTTTTATTATCTGCCCTGTCCTAATCCTAAAAGTGATAACAACCACAGAACAAACAGTCATTCCCTTTGTTCCATCTCCTCCTTTAAAATTAGTTGTTCTTTGATCGCATCCCATGGATTTTGAAAGGAAAGGTATTCTTACTGATTTTTTTCAGCAATTGAGCTTTTTAATTTCCTTTTGCCTTAAAGAAGTTTAGAAGAATGCTTTTGACTATCCAATGGGGTGAATGTATAATAATTTTAACTTTTGATTTCTATTGTTTTTTTAAATGAGATTGTAGTCACAGAATATGATTTATACTCTTTCCAATATAAATAATTTATTAATTTTGTCCTTGTGGCCAAACGTACTTTCAACATTTTATTGTTTCTTGGATACTTGAAGAGAAAATACACTTTTTCCCCCAGCATACTGAGTTCAGTGTGAATTCTTATTCATTTCTTTTATTCTGCTTTCTTATGTCACTTTTCATTTTTTTATTTGGTTAAAAAATGAAAGAGATATATTAAAACATCTTGTTATGCATCTTTATTTGTCCTTGTATACCCAGATGTTTTGATCCTCTATATTTTGTTACTATGATACTTAGCCCATAGATAAACTGCAGTTATGTGTTCATTATGTTAATATAGGACCGTGGTAGTAATATAGTAACCACTGCATATTTAACTATATCTCTTAGGTAATCTCAGCAGGAAGCCCCAGATTCCAGACACATAGTTGGCACTCCAATATGTGTTGTATAAGTAAATTATTGCAAAGTAGTTTACTGGGTCATGCACATGGTTCCTCCAGTCTGTTTTATCCAAGGATGGACACAGAGGCAAAACTATAGATTATGTCTCTCTGAAGTTAAGTTTTTGAACACATCTGTAAGATAATTCACACTTCGTCACTAGAAAATTAACTGAATTTCAAAAATCCATATTTTTGGTCCATATTTATTCTATAACCCTAGATGAATTTTGTTTGAAGTCTAATTTGTTTTATTGCTTTAAATTTAGCTTAAGGTGTTATAATAGTAGCAGTCTTGGTTTAAAATCCGTGTTCAAAATGTCCTATATGAATACTAGAGTCCCAAGTTAGAGGCAAGGTCAGTATTTTTACCAAACTTCACTCCCTTAAATTCACAATATGATTTACTTAAAGAAATTTTTTTCAATTAATGTTGCTGAGTTCTCATGTATAATGTTATTTGTCTAAGAATTTATTTAGTAAAATTTAGACAATCAAATAAGCCTCATTCTATAAACCTGGGAATATTTCTTATTTCTCTACTTGATAAAGGTATAATTGATGTCCTTGAATATTGCTGTCAAGTGGTGAGATACATCTTTGAAGACTCCTTTTATTAGTACCTTATCTTCAAAAGAAAATGAGAAAGATTTCAGTGTATCATCTTTTCCAGGCTTTTTCATTTTGTGATGTTTAATTTTGTATGCATTTTATTTAAAATTAAATATTCACATTATTGGATATAAGTAGATTTTATCTAAAATATTTAAAATATGATTCTATTTTTTGATGAATTTGAACACATGTAAAACAAAAGAAGTCCCCCAACAACTAACTTGCAACAGAACAGTTGACCGTGACACCTGTAATAGCCATTACATCTATACTTATTTTTAGTTTTACATTATCTATACTTTAAGCTCATTCTGTTTAATCCAGGGATCAATATATCCACTTGATTAACCAAGAAGATCAGAATTTACCATATAAGACTGATTGAGGTTACAGATACAAATCAGTAGTGAAAGATTTTGTGGATGTGAGAACTGAGTGGGCCTTCAAGGTCCCTCCACTTTAGCCAAACGCCTGTCTCAGATAGTCTTCACTTATTATTTCAGGGACTTTTAACACTGTCCAAGGCACCAACAATTTGATAAGTTCTGATTCATTTGTAGTCATTTCTCCTATAATTGATATCTGTTCAAGCTATTTTTAAGTGTCATTAAACAACCTTACCTATGGGATTCAAGCATAACTCAGCCCTGGTTTAGTTTGCTTCAACCAGAAGCTTCAGATCAGTCTGGCTCCCTCTAGCCCCATTTTTGAATTTTGTTTATTGTACATTCATTAGTCATGAAGAATCACAGTGTTGGGTGTTACACAGAAGTCTTCATACTCTCCTTTTCTTGGCCCTTCTTAATGACAAAGAATCTAACTTTTATTTTTACACTCGTGAAAGCATACAACATATTATATCTGTAGAATTTTTACAAACATTGTTAACACTTAATTTTTATTAATAAAGTGTGCTCAGGAAAGACTTAAGGTTATGATCTAGTGCATAAAATCCACATTTTTTTAACAAGAAACAGATTTATTTGAGAAAAGAGTATAATCATATTTAAGCCAAGTGTAATAGTTCAAATGCAATTTTAATGAAAAGGAACTGTAGCCCAATTTCTTTTCTCCTGACTAAGGGAATTGAACTACAGGGATGAATTTACAGCTATACAGAATTTTTTCTGTCTTTCTGTCTGTCTCTTTTTACATATATATATGTGTATATATATATGCATGTATGTATTTATGTGTCTGTATATCTTCATACATTAATAAATGTGCATATATGTATATGTATGTATATCTATATATACTAATAGATGCAAATAAGATAGATACAGATATACAGACATTTAAAATCAAACATAGATATATGTAAAAGTAAAAATTCAGATAACCTTCATGGGGTGACAGTTAAGCAGCCCAGGCAGTGAAGTCTGAGCGTAGACTATTGCAGAATTGAGCAGTGCATTTTGCTACTGGTGACCTTTAATATTTGATTGTTATCTCTCTTGCATTTACTCTTTTTCCATACTTGTAAAAAGAGCATCTTAATATATGCCTTGCTTTATTCTCATTTTGGCACATGAAGGACAGAGTGATTCTTACAATAAATGCTCAATAAGTGTGGCTGCTATTATTATTCACATTCTCTTGCATTCTCTTGATATTCTGGAATGTACCTAGAACATGAAACATAAATTTAAACTCCTCTTCTTTCTCTCACATTTCTACTTCTTTGAGCCAGTTTCAGCTCCAAATACTTCTGTCTCTTAATAATTGAGAGTTGAACCTAAAGATATTTGCTTTTTTTGTAAAACAGAGGTAAATTGCCCCTTGTTTTCTTTTCCAGTTTTAATTTCACTCCAAGTTTATAGCTGAGAGTGGAGTCATCTTTCCAGTATGAAGCTCTCAGTTTGTACTCAGCAAAGGTGAACAGCCAAACATTCATGCTTGTTCCACTCAGCCCTTGATTTGGACTTGGAGTATTCGTGTTTATCTTCAGTCATCAGATTTGGCATTGCTTTATCTCTTACCATGGCTCATTGAAAATTTCCTGCTAGGGTTCTGTCCCATCCATAGTCAATAAAGGAATGAACACTGAGCTGGAAGGATTTATCAGCAGGAGCCCTTCTATTTCTATCATTTGTCCAAAAACTTTTAGTCCAAACTTGTAGCGGGGAAAGGATTTCAGGTCTGCTTTTAGTGCCTCGAGTGTACTCACTGTTTCAGCTTTTCTCCTAAATTGTAGAATGTTTGACAAAAAAATTGTTGTGTCAGAGAAAAATGCCACAAAAAGTATTTGAACCAGTATTTTAGAAATAGGGTGGGATTTTTGACAATCACATTCAATTCATAATATAGGATACAAAAATGAGTTCCCATTTCTAATAGTTTAGTATGGCTAAAGTCTAAATGCTGGATGATATATTTAAACCTACAGCCATGGATGCCTATTTAATGGGCCTAACACCGCAAGAGGAAATCTACTGTATCGTCCTCACTAAATCTGAGCCATTAAAGACCATGAAAGATTGACAGGAAGTGTGCAGCTACCCTTGTTTGTTTGTTGTACCATAAACTAGAACTGTCTGGTGAAGGATAAACTCAGCTGGTATAAGCCAGAAGCCATCTTTATATTTGTATTATGCAAAACCTGGTAAGACCTAAGGTATAATTCCCAAACTTAAGCATTAAAAACTCTAGCTTTTAAGCTCTGCCAAAAAATTCAGCTTTACAATGTCCAGATCTAGTAGAGTCCTTGGCATTCAGATTATTACAGTGAGATCCTAGAAACAACATAACATCTCACTTTTTAAATATTTTCATTTTAAATAGGCCACCAGCCTGTTCCAAACGCTGGACATAAAAAGGCTCTTTTTATTTTGGGAAAGATATTCAAACCCAGTCTGTCCTTTTCTTCTTTCTATTATAAAAGTGCTCCTTTAAATTCAATTAACAAGACCTAAATAGCACTAAAATGACTGACAAGGGAATTGTTAACCACATTTTAATAGGTAAAGGCAGCATAGATTTCAGTTGGAAACATTTTTAAAGCTGTTATCCAATGCTTGATGGTCACTGCATCTCACGTCATCTTTCTTTGGGTTAAGGTAACGATTCTATTCTCAGTAGGAGTAAATTTGCTCTGGTTCACTTATAATGAATCAAGCAACATCTGCAATATGGTACAGCTAGATTAGTAAACCTGTAATTTAGGACTGAAAATATCGAATACACTTTTCTTCTCTCTTACTTTCTGAATAATTTCTTACTCATTATATTTAATTTAGGCAAGGTTACAGCCACTGAAGGGTGGAGTAAACTGCTATCTTCAGAGACAGCGTTCCAGGGTGAACTCATTTCCCCTCCACTGCAATTATTCATGTTTAAACAATATTTCTTTGCAAATTCATGCAAAGATAATTAGAAGTTATGTTCGTTTTGTTTTCTCCTTAAACTTTATCACTCAGAAATTTAGACTAAACTATTTTTAATTGCTTTGGGCTAGGACACAGTGTTTAAATGTAATCACACCCCCTAGAGATAATATTTTAAAAACGTGGTTTGAACTAGCAAAATAAAAGCATGAGACACTGCTGCATATGATTAGGAGCGAGTCTGATTAAAAGGGGAATACAGAGGGATGGGGGGAGTCAACATTGCTAAAGAGAGAAGAATGACATGGTTGGATAGAGTCATATATGCAAAAATAAAATGATTTGGCTAGTAATCAGAAGACTTCAACTTGTAGCCTTTCTCTAGTCAATTTTTTCCTCATTGTCTCTGTTTCTTTGTGTGTAAAAGGCCTAGATTAGGTAATTCCATTGGTTATTACCAGCTTTATTTTTGTGGCAGCATAAGGTAACCAGTCATGGAAGAGGTGGGTGACGTAAAGGGTCATTTTTGTTTCTGCAGAAAAGCATGTTGTTGAGCAAAAACATTTTTTTAGAGAAAAAGTGCAAACAATTAACTGTTCCATTTTTGTATGTAATCTTAAAGCAGCACACAGTATAAGAGTTTTTCTGTGTCCTAAATTCCAAGACAGTGGTTCTCGAAGTAGGATCCATGAACCAACCCCTAGAGAATCCTGAGAATCCCTGAGACCTTTTCAGGAGGTCCACAAGGTCAGAGCTATTCTCATAATAACACTAAGACATTATTTCCTATTTTTGGTTTTTGAAATTTGCCCTAATGGTACAAAAACAGTAGTGGGTAAAATTGCTGAAGGCTTAGTACAAATCACTGCACTAGCACTAAACTGGGCTAGAGATCATTTTATATATATATTTTATATATATATATATAATATATAATATATACAAAGGAAGAATAATATTTTATATGTTATATATGTTACATATATTATAATATATTATATATGTTATATATATTATATATTATATTTTATATATATATATATATATAAAAAGTCATTCTTCCTTTGTTTTTATTTTTATTTTTTAAATCTGCTTTAAAAATCCTAAAATTGCCCTGGAGGTTTTTAATAGGCTTATATATAGTAAACATAGTTACTGTAAGATGACATGCTGGGAGATGGAGATTCTTTCTTTTGGCTCTGTATAGCAATTCAAAGGAAGTTCAAGGAAGCCTACACAAAAAGTTTATGAGGCATTGGATGAATTTGCTAAGGTATCAATTTGTCTTAGCTCCTGAAACAACATTGAATCAGTCATAAAAGGTAAAATCAACCACTGGAAATGGGTGTAACGGATTGTGTAAATGAAGCATAGCATATGCATTATGATAGCTAACTGCATGTGTAATGCACTTTAGGTTAGACCTTATTGCTAATTTACCAAATTGCACTGCAGAGTGGAGTGAAAGGCAGTAGATTAACTGACTCTACTCAGAGCTAGGCAGGACACAGCTAGTGAATGGTGATTCGTTGGTGCGCATGCCATTTGTTACCTACTGGGAGTAAATCCTGTTTGGGAACACATCGTAAATTATAATCTTGTCCTGTCCTCAGCCAGAGCCTCATTTGTTAGTTTCTCTCCTTCTGTTTTTACAGAGTACTTTATGAGCTAGTAAATTAAACTGCACTGGCTGTTCTTTGAGGGAGCTAGAAGAATCTCTCACAAATGTTATTCAGAATAAGCACAAACATTCTTCAGCATAATTGTGGAAGCAGATAAAAGGCCAATATGCAGTACGTGTGGAGCACTTATGAATGTCAAGTTCTGAACTAGGCTTGGTGAGGGAGAATGCAAGAAGCTCAAAAAAAACCTATTATTATTATTTTGCAATCAGGGGCCCATAGTGAATCAATGAGATAGCAGAGCATTAGAAAGTATGGAATTTATGAATTCTAAAGTAGAGTGCAAGATATCAGAAAAGAAGCCAGGGAGTAGCTGTGTTTAAAACAAAAACTGGAATGATATGGCTTTGAAAGTCTTTGAAACCATTATAAGATTTTTTGCTGTTTTTTAAAATTGTTACATAACAGATGTACATATTTTTGGGGTGCTTGTGATAATTTGATATATTCAAATACTGAGAGAAGATCAAATCACGGTATTGATATACCCATCACATTAAATTTGTATCTTTTCTGTATGCTAGGAACATTCAAATTATTGTTTTCTAGCTATTTTGAAATGTACAGTAGATTATTGTTCACTATAGTCCCCCTACGGATATATCGAACACTAGGTCTTATTCCTTCTATCGAATCCACGAGTATTAACTCTCATTAATCAACTTCTCTTTGTCCCTCATTTCCCCATTCCCTTCCTGCCCTCTGGTAACCATCATTCTACTCTATATCTTCATGAGATTCATGTTTTTAGTTCCCACATATGATTAAGAACATGAGATATTTATCTTTCTTAACATAATGACCTCCACTGCCATCCATGTTGCTGCAAATAATAGTATTTAATTCTTTTTTATGGATGAATAATATTCCATTTGTGTATATAGCACATTTTTCTTTATCCATTCATCTTTTGATGGACACTTGGGTTGATTCCATATCTTGGCGATTGTGACTACAGCTGCAGTAAACACGGAAGTGGAGGTAACTGTTTAATATACTGATTTCCTTTTTTAATTTTTTGGATATATATCCTGTAGCGGAATTGCTGGATCATATGGTAGCTCTATTTATAGTTTCTTGATGAACGTCAGTGCTGTTTTCCATAGCGTGTGTGCTAATTTACATTCCCACCAACAGTGTATGAGGGTTCCTTTCACGTCACATAGTGGCCAGCATTCATAATTCCCTGACTTTTTGATGAAAACCATTTTAACTGGTGTGAGACAATATCTCATTTTAATTTTGATTAACATTTCTGTGACAGGTGATGTTGAGTGTTCATTTTGTATGCCTGTTGGTGCTTTTGTATATCCCCTTTTGAGAAATGTCTCTTTAGACCTTTTGCCCATTTTTAAATGGATTATTATTTTTTACTATTGACTTGTTTGAGTTACTTATTCTGATTATCAATACTTTGTCATATGACTAATTGATAAAAATTTTCTCCCACTCTGTGGGTTGTCTATTCACTTTGTTGATTGTTTTATTTGCTGTGCCAAAGCTTTTTAGCTTTATGTAATCGGATTTGTCTACTTTTGTTTTTGTTGCCTGTGCTTTTGAGGTCTTACACAAGAGGTTTTGCCTAAACTAATGTCCTGGAGTGTTTCCCCGATGTTGTTAAAATGTCCATACCATCCAAAGCAATTATACATTTGGTGCAATCTCTATCAAAATATCAATATCATTCTTCATGGAAATAATTTATATGGAACCACAAAAGACCTTGTGTTTTTTGTTTGTTCGTTTGTGGTTCCATATAAATAGTCAAAGTAATCTGGAGAAAACAACAACAAATAAAACAGAACAAAAAAAACTGGCAGCATCACACTACCTGACTTCTTCAAAATATACTACAAAGCTAGAGTAACCTAATCAGCTTACTAGACCCTATCTCTCACTATGTATAAAAATCAACTCAAAATGAATTAAAGTCTTAAATCTAAGACCTGAAACGAGGAAACTGCTAAAAGATAGCATTAGGAGATATACCTAATGCTAAATGATGAGTTAATGGGTGCAGCACACCAGCATGGCACATGTATACATATGTAACTAACCTGCACATTGTGCACATGTACCCTAAAACTTCAAGTGTAATAATAATAAAAAACCCTATAAATTATTTTAAATATACAAAAATTTAGACAAAAATGTGATAGTATTCTTCATCACCATGTATATTTAACAGTTTTAATCTTTTTCTTTATTTTTTTTTAAATCTTATGCCTCTGTGAGAATGTGGTATTGGTCTTTCTTATGTCTACCCGCTGACCTTTTTATGATTATCTTATTCTGCCATAATTTTTATTTTCACATGTTTTGAGTGCGTACAGCCTCAGGAATACAAGAACCTGCCTCTATATGAGGGTCACTTCATACACAGCTGTAAACTCCTCTTCCTGATGTGGCAGATACTATTTCACTCTTGCCCTTGGGTTCTGGATACAGAGTAAGAAGTGGGTGATTTTGTAGCCAAAATTCTATGATGACCTCAGTGAGCAGTTCACATAATGGTGTTTTTGGTTAAAGTCCTAATTAGCCTTCTGTAGTTAATGAGCGTATGGGTTATAAATCTATTCATTATTATGAATGATAGGGCCAGTGAATAAAATTTGCCAGTTTTGCTCTAAGACGTAATTATTTATGAAAAGGCATTGCTCCAGAAATGGAAATCATAATAATTAGATTTAATCTTTCTGTGGCTTATGTGTTTTTTCCCAGGGAAACAGATGTCTAGAGAGTGCTAATTACTAGCAGTAGAAAGTTTCCTATACAGACAAATCAGAAAGTTAGGAGGCTAAACCCAGGAACCTTAACATCAGTTAGCCATGTGCCTTTAGAAAAGAGGCACTCCCCAGAGGCTTCCTGTCCATTAATGGTACATTTGTCTTATATAATGTTACCAGCTGTTTATCCCTGGAGTTTTGCTTCTAATAAAAGCAAGGAATTTTAAGGCACTTTCCATAAATGCTTAAATAGATAAAACAAGCTTGTCTGCAAAAGTTTATTAACTTAGTCAAAACTGGACCATGAATAAAATGTTATACCAGGAAAAGAAATAGAAATTATCCCTTTTGGTCAGCACTCTGAGTTTCAACGTCAACTGATACTTGCCTTGTCCACAAAGAAGAACCAAAATAGCAAGGAGATAATCACATTTCTAATAGATCATCTAAGAGAGAATGCTAGAATTCAACAGATAATTGACAGAAAAAAAAATCCCAATGCAAGGAAAGAGAGGGAAATGAGGTGGTTTGCTCAGGTGGGATCCCACTGGGAGCTGGAGAGGCTCCCCAGAGCAGGGAAAGGGTGAGTGCCCCAAGTGGTCCACATTCCTACCATGAACTCCTGCAATTACAGCCATGGGGAAGCCTCTTGATTCTCATAGGCCCTAAGACTGACAGGCAACTATCTGGAGAGTAGCTGAAAAACAGACAGAAGGGATTACATCAAGCTAAGAAGCTTCTGCACAGCAAAGAAAACCAACAAAATAAAGAGATAACCGACAGAATGGGAGAAAATATTTGTCAATTATTCATATGACAAGGTATTAATAACCAGAATATGTAAGGAACTCTCAAGCAATAATCCAATCAAAAAATAAGCAAAAGATCTCAATAGACATTTCTTAAGAGAAGATATACAAAAGGGATATTAAAAACATACTCACCATCACTAGTCATCACAGAAATGCAAATCCAGACTACAATGAAATATCATGTCACTCCAGTTAAACTGTTTTGTATCAAAAAGTCAGGAAGTTATGGATGCTGGTGAGTATGTGGAGAAAAAGCTGACCCCCAACAGTCAACATTTCTACCATGAATTCCTGCAATTAAAGCCAAGAGAAAGGCCCAAGATCCTCACGGGTCCTGAGACTAATATAGGGAGCTACCTGGAGAACAGGCAATGACATTGTGCCAGAGAGAGAGCTCACACACACCCCAAGCCTAAGCAGCTACAGTAGGTCACCATTTTGAGAGCCTAGCCCCCACTAGACTGCATCCTGTACTGGGGCCCAAGACCTCCTGCATCTCCACATTCTTGGAGCCTCATTGATTTCCCCCACATGTATCCGGGTACTGCTGCTGGCTGCTGCCACAAGGGTCAGAGTGTGAGCCATTAGCAGCAACTCTGCCACCCCCAGTACCAGGGCCACTGCACATTTAAGAGCACCTGAAGGAAAGGCTATACTACCTATAGCCACCACGGGGTGGCTATAAGTGTTTGCTCTCCCTGTTTATGGCTGCTGCCTCTGAAACCAACCCTGCCCTCCCAGGAGCTGCGCCACAGTACGATCACTCCCACCCCAACCTGAGCATTCTGCCAGGGGTCTGGGAATCACCCTGCCTCTGTCTATCATAGCCATCCTATACTCATGACAAGGGACCTGAGGACAAGACTGCTTAATCTAACTTTATCCCTAGTGTCCAACACACCATCCAGTGGCCTATGGACTGCCCTGCCCCATCAACAACAATTAACACCTCAGCACTCCTCCCAGGGGACTGAGCAGAGGCCCAGCCAACCTGCTGCTACCACAGCTGGCCTCCACCTGCACACACACCACATGCAGGCCTGGGGTCTGGCCTATGAAGACCATTGCAGTCATCACCAAAACAACCACAGACTGCTTGGGAGCCAGATGATTGATCCACCACTGTTATTGCCCATGCCACATCTGCTGTCCAGGGACTCAAGGACCTGGCCCACTGCTGCCACTTCTAGCACCTGAGCAAGCCACCTGGAAACCCAAGAATTGGCCTGCCTGGACTTGCGAACACCACTATCAGCATACTGGGCTCCCCTGGGGACCAAGGAAAGTCATGCTCAGCTCACCGATGCCACCACTAAGACCTGAGGATTGGCCCAGATGTTGTCCCCATCCCCAGCAAAATTTCACCCCAGCCTCCACTAACAACCACACCCTAAGCCACTGAGAAAATCATAGACACTACTGATGTTGTTTACAAATAAATCATACTAAGACTACACCACTGCATACCCCCAGAATCAAAGCCAAAGCACCCTAACCAACCAACACCATGGGTACATCCTCAGGAAAAAGTCCTCCATCACGATAGCAATTTCAAAAAATTGAAGTGATTTTTATAACAGATGCACAGATATCAATATAAAAGACAAATGAAAAATGGAAAAGCAAGAAAGTACCACACCTGCAAAAAACCCACAATTAACTCTCCAGCAACTGATTCCAGTGAAAAAGAAATGTATGAAATCCCAGATAAAGAATTCAAGATGATGAGATTGAAGGATCTTAGTGAGATATAATAGAATATAAAAAATGCTAAGAAATAAAATAGAGGATATGAATGAGAAATTTAAAAGAGATTTTTAAAAAAACAAATTCTGGAAATTAAACATTCATTGAATGAAATGGAAAATGCATTCAAAAGCTTCAACAGTAGATTGGAACAAGCAGAAAAATGAATTCCAGATCCTGAAGAAATTACTTTTAAAATAACCTAGTCAGAAAAAAATAAAGAGAAAAGAACAGACATATGGAATACCATGAGCCTACCAAATAGTTACATCTTTGCAACTATTTGTTACTTAGTTAGTTGTATGTAACATATTAGTTACACAGCTAGACTGACCAAAATACAAAATACAAAAAGAGAAAACTCCAATAAATCACAAGTGAAGGAGACATTACAATTGATAACCACATACATACACAAGATTATCAGAGACTGTTATAATAACAAAATGTAAAGCCTAGAGGAAATGGATAAATTTCTGGACACATACAACCTACCAAAATTGACTCATAAAGAAAGAGAAAATCTGAACATACCAATAATGTGTAAGGAGATTGAATTAGCAATAAAAATCTCCCAACAAAGGAAGCTGTGGGAGCAAATAATCACTGCCTAATTCTACCAAAGTTATAAAGAAAAACTGACACACACCAATTCTCCTTAGATTATCTAAAAAAATTCATAAGAAGGAATAGGAGGGAATTATCTCCAACACATTCTATGAGGCCAGCATTACACTGATACCAAAAATGGACAAAGACACAGAAAACAACAACAACAACAAAAAACCAGACATCAATATCCCTGATGAATATAGATACAAGAGTTCTTGACAAATTACCAGCAACTTGAATCCATTAGTACATCAGAAAAGATGATACACCATTGATCAAGCAGGATTTATCCCAAGGATGCAAGGATGGTTCGACATATGTAAATCAGTAAATAGGATATATTATAAAAACACAATGAAGGACAAAAACCATATGATTATCTCAATAGATGCAAAAAAACCCATTTTATAAAATTCAACATTCATTCATGATAAAAACCAGGCATAGGAGGAACACACCTCAACATAAAAAGACTGAAATATATTATAAACTCACAGCCAATATCATACCGAATAGAGAACGGTTGAAAGTCTTTAAGAACTGAAATAAGACAATGATGTTCACTTTCACCAGTCCTATTCAACATAGAACTGGAAATCCTAGCCAGAGCAATCAGTCAAGAGGAAAAACTAAAAAGCATCCAAATTGGGAAAGACTAAGTAAAATTGCCCTTTGCAGATGACATAGTTTTATATCTGAAAAACCTAAAGACTTCACCAAAAAACTCTTAGATCTGATAAATGAATTCAGTAAAGTTGCAGGATACAGTATCAACCTACAAAAAACCACTATTATTTCTATACCGCAGTGAACTAGCTGAGAAATAAATAAAGCAATCTCATTTATAACAGCTACAAAAAATAAAATAAAGTGCCTAGGAATCAATTTAATCAAGGAGGTGAAAGACTTCTATGAGGAAAACAACTCTGATGAAATAAATTAAAGAGGACACAAACAAATGGAAAAACCTTCCATGCTTTTGGACTGGAAGACTTAACATCATTAAAATGACCACAATACTCAAAGCAATCAACAGATTTAAGGCAATCTCTATGAAAATAGCAATGTCATTTTTCACAGAGACAGAACAAATTCTTAAAGTTTGTGTGGAACTGAAAAAGAGCATGATTAGCTAACATTAAGTCCTGACTGAAAAGAACAAAGCTGGAGGCATCATTCTACCTGACTTCCAAATATATTACAAGGTTCCAGTAACCAAAAAGCATGGCATTGGTATAAACACAGATACATAAACCAATAGAGCAGAATGGAGAATCCAGAAATAAATCCATATATTACAGCCAACTGATTTTCAACAAAGGCACCAAGGACATCCTCTTTAGTAAGTGGTGCTGGGAAAACTGGATAACCATATGCACAAGAATGAAATTAGACCCCTATCTTTTATCATATGCAAAAATTAACTCAAGATGAATTAAATACTTAAATATTAGACCCCCAACTAAAAATTACTAGAAGAAAACGTAGGGAAAGCTCTTAAGGAAATTGGTCTATTCAAAGATTTTATGGCTAAGACATCAAAAACACAAGCAACAAAACCAAAAATAGACAAATGGGCTATATTAAATTGAAAAGCTTCTGAATAGCAAAGGAAACAATAGAGTGAAGAAACAACCTGGTGAATGAGAGAAAATCTCTTCAAACTTATTCCTCTGACAAGAGAATATACAAGAACATCAAAATTCAAACTATACAAAATCCAGAATATACAAGAACCAGAGTATACAAAATCCAGAATATACAAGAATCTCAAAAACTCAAAAAATAAAAAAATAAGTAATCCCATTAAAAAGTTAGCAAAGGATGTGAATAGACATTTCTCAAAAGAATTGGTCAACAGGTATACAAGAAAATGCTAAACATCACTAATCATTAGGAAAATGCAAATAAAAACCACAATGAGATATCTCACCCCAGTTATAATGATGGTTATTTAAACGAGAAAAAAAATGACAGATGCTAGCAAAGATGAAGGGAAAAGGAAACTCTCCTACGCTGTTGGCAAGATGTAAATTAGAATAGCCACTATGAAAAACAGTATAGTGAGTTCTCAGAAAACTAAAAACAGAACTGCCACATGATTCAGCAATCCCACTACTTGGTATTTATTCAAAGGAATAGAAATCAATATATCAAAAAGATACCTGCACCCTCACGTTTACTGCAACACCATTAATAATAGCAAAAATATAAAAATCTAAGCGTCCATGAATAGATAAATGCATAAAGAAAATGTGGTATATATACAAATGTAATATAATTCAGTCATAAAAAATAATGAAATCATGTCATTCACAGTGACATGAATGGAACTGGAGGTAATTATGTTACGGGAAATGAACCAGGCACAGAAAGACAAGTATTCAATGTTCTCACTCATATGTGGGAGCTAACAAAGTTGGTCTCATGGAGGTAGAGTAGAATGAGAGCTACCAGTGGCTGGGAAGGGAGTGTAGGTGGTGGTAGGAGGATGAAGAGAGGTTGGTTAATGGGTACAAACATAATAGTTAAATAGAAGGAAAATTTTCTATTGCTTCATGGCAGAGCAGAGTGACTATAGTTAGCAAAAATGTATCGTGTATTTCCAAACAGCTGCAAGAGTGGACTTGAAATGCTCATAACACATAGAAATGATAAATACCTGAGATGATGGACACTCCAAATACCCTAACGTGATCATTGAACAGCCTATGCATGTTAGATAATACCACATAGACTCCAGAAATATGTACACATATTATGTATCAATTTTAAAAAGGTAAATTGAAGCATGCTTCTTTTTTTAAAAATAGGCTGGTTCAAGAGTCTGACAGTCAAAAACTGACAGACAGATAATGGGTACTGAACTCTGCAGTCTAGATTAAAATAATGTCTATTTAATTTTTCTTGAATTAAGTAAAATAATATGCATTAATTAAACTTAATGAAAAACTTAATTTGAAAAAAATCCCATTAAAAATAAAAGATATTGCTGGTGGCATTTGTGGTTAAGGATGGATGTTTCTGTATTTTTATATAATGCTGTCATACAATTAAATTAGAACTGGGACAGTCTTTAAAGGCTATCCATCTAATTTAATTGAGTCTGAATTTAAGCCCAAGTCCTCATTTTAGATGAGAATACCATGGCAGGGATAGGTTATGTGATGTGAAACGTTATATAGCCTTTTCTCCTGGCTTCCAGTTCAATGTGCTTTTGAAGCCATCACCTTGTCTTTAACAAGTCAAAATATTCATTCTGCCTACTAACTTCCCACAAATCTTTTCTCTACCTCTTTCATCTCTCCCTCCAACATGAATTTCTATTCATCCGGCCAAGCTGAGGAAGGGTGTACTTGCAATTTAATAAAATCATTTTCAAGCATTAACCTTGATTCTAAGAAAAGAGGTGGGCAATACATAGGTATACCTGCCTCTTAATGACATTTCAATCTTGCATCCTTGGCACTGTAGCTTTAATGAATATAAGTGTGGATTCTCAAACCTGACTGCTTACATTCACACTCTACTGCCCTAGTTTATAACCTATGTAATATTGAGTAAGCAACAATCTGTATTTCACTGTCTGAAAAAACGAGGTTATTAATAGTAGGTACCTCCTAGATTTTTGTGAACACTAAATGAACTGGTACTCATAAAGCTCTTAGAAAAGTGCCTGATACACAGTATGCACTTAGTAAATGGGAACTATTATTTTTTATATGATTAGGCAGAAACAAATTAGCATATAAAATAATATGAATTATAAATGTATTAAGTTTCCAAATGCCACACATGCATAAGCCCTTATATTAATTACAGTCATCGCCGTAGGACAATTCTCTGGGTGGCCTTGAATCAACTCAGTTCTTCCCACTTTCATGCTTGTTCTCAAGAATAACTGTAGAGCATGCTGGGAATACAACATCCTGAGGTAAGGGGGAACTGGCCACAACAGTGCACGCCAATTACCAGTCCCCCTGTAGAAACAAGATATCCTTCAAAGCTTTAGCCCAGGGGGTCATGTTGCCCCCAGGGGTTAAAACCCAAGGTAGGCTGCTTTTGGGGGTCCCTCAGCTATAGTGCAAGTGGGGAATGTGTGGTCTAAACCCCAAGCAGCTTTCCTGAGCCTTAGGGGACCAGTTCACAGTAAATCCTAGGCTTCGGTTGTTGTTTGATGCCTATTTGTAAGTAATAAATCTGCCTCATGTAACTTGTTTCATTTAACTGTGTTCTTTCTTATCAGATTCAGAAAAGTTAGTAACCAGTGCACAGTAAACCTGCTTCACAATCACAAAAACCCCAAACTGGTAATTAGTCTAATTTTATAGATAATAATACTGAGACCCAGAATGATGAGATTACTTGCTTGAGGCAATATAGCTAGTCACTGACAGCTGGCTTCCAAAACTCTGATTGTTGGTAGATGTAAATCCCATGTTTATGAAACTTCTTTGATTCAGATTTAGGACCCATTGATTGCTTTCTAAATTTTCTAGTAGCAAACATTTTATGGGCTTTTTTATCTCTTAAAAATAGAAAATTATAATTGATTGACAAGTAGTGGTAGCTGAGTAGTTTTTCTAGGGATCTTCATAAATGATACGTTTGTGCTGCCACAAGATAGAAGGTTTTATAATCCTTTTGGGTGAATTCCAAAATTCAGAGGGGAGCACTTTATTTAGCACTGGAAAACTGGTCGAGGGATGGCTGGAGAAGGTGTGAATTGGAAGGTCAGCCACCTCTCCTTCCTGACTCAAGCTGCTCTTTAAGGACTGCACTGACAGGGTTGATCACCCTACAGACTGGCACCATTGGCAAGTGTGAAAGTAAAGGAGACCAGAGCAACAGCTGTGGGACCTCAGCTGCAGCAGTCTGCCTGTGTTGCCAATGACTTAAAAATGAATGGGCAGGGAGGGTCTGTGCTCTCAGCTAAGTGAAACACTGTCATTTTCTAGCTCTTTCTTTTTTAGTTGTTTCGGTTTTTATGCAGAGATAGTCACTCCTTCAAAGTGTTCTCTCATCCTCATGTATATGTTTGTGTATGGATGTTATATCCACATCTCTAACTTCAGATGTTCTGAAATGGAACCCATTCTTTCTATAACATCACTACCTTCACTTCTCTAAACCAGGTGTTTATCCAGTGTCTTCATTTCAGCCAATGATGCTCTCATCTATCAAGGTGGGAAAACTAGAAATGTATATGTTGTCCTTGCCACATTTCTCTTCTCCTACTTAAGTGCCTCAGACTAAGTTGGGCCACTGTTTTGTCTACCATGATACTAAGAGATTTTTCATTTGTAGAACTTATGAAATTTTGTGATCACAGATTCATGTTTATGACTATTTTATGAACATTGGCAGGTCACTTCATTGCAGGTCACTTCATTGGCCTGCAAGCTACACGAAAGCAGGGATCATATCTGTGTTTGCTCATCAGTGCTTTTGTACCTATATAACTACAATGCTTATCACAAAGTAAGAGCTCAAAAATTAATTGTTGAATGAATCATTCGTTTCTTTGCTACAATGTTTACAATGCCGTATCTTTAGACAAGGAATTGCTTATAATGGCAACTCTCAAAAAGGAATGGACCAACTCTGGAAATGGTGAGATGTCCATCATTGTTTTCCGGAAACATCTGGATGATCTTCTGTTATTTTGAATTTAGAAATGTTTGGATTAGGTGATCTTTAAGACCATCCCACATCATGGTTTATTATTCTGTTGTGGACATTGAAGCCAAATAGATTGGCATAAAGAGAGCTTTGCACTGAAGTGTCAGGACACCTGAGTTTTAGTTCACATCTCAGTAACCTTACTCCCACTATCTGCAACCCTGTCTTGCATCTTTAAAATGAGGTGCATTAGTAAGGATAAGTTAGGTTATCTAGAAGTAACAAGTAACCCCATTAATTCAGTGATTTAATATAATCAGATTTCCTTCTTACTCAGTTTATATCTACATGTTGGTGGGCAGAGGGTTCTGCTTCACATTGTCACTCAGAAGCCAGCAGATGGAGGGTTGCTTCTCTTAAAGTTGAACCATTGTGAATATTAGCCTTCTACACTTGCCTCATCATTGGAAAAGAGAGATTGGAGAGCTCAGCATAAGCTTTTAACTACCTTATCTCAGAAGTGACATGTATCACTTCTGCTCACATCTCATTTGTGAGAAACAGCCATTGGCTTCCTGCAACTTTAAAAGAGCTGAGAAATATAGGGGAGCAAATGAAACATTTGGTGAGTATGACTATTTCTTCCACTTGAAGGAATTGTGACTTTTTGTTGTTTGTTTTCTTAAGCAATAGGAACATTTCTTACAATAAATACATACAAATGTTGTAGTTATAGTTTAATACATTATTTTATACATAATAGTGACACTGTATTAATGGAAGTAGATCTGAAGATGCCTGAGCCCCTGCCTGCTTATCCTATACTTCATAGCAACTATGCCCTCTGATTACATCCAAGGTGCCATGAACCACCCAGTGTGGAAACTGCCTAGCCTGATGATCTCAAAGATCACTTCTAACTTTAAAAATTCTATTTGTAAGTAATGCTCCCATCTGTAAATGTATTAGGAGACTATATACACATGTTAAAAGCATGTTGTCGATCCTTGAGGATTTTTAACAACTTTTTAAATTACAAACATGGCATACACTACCAAAAAAGCAAAACAATAAAACAATTTGTTACTATTCCCAACAAAATTATTTTTATTTTCCTTTGTCTTGTCTAAATTTATATATAATTACATTTATGTCTAACTTTATATTTTTATTTCATATTTTATTAATACTTTTAAATTCTATTTTGTCTTTATGATTTTATTTATTTATTCATTTATTTTGAGATGGAGTCTCGCTCTGTCACCCAGGCTGGAGTGCAGTCATGCGATCTCAGCTCACTGCAACCTTCGCATCCTGGGTTCAAGCAATTCTCCTCCCTCAGCCTCCTGAGTAGCTGGGACTACAGGCACGTGCCACCACACCTGGCTAATTTTTTGTATTTTTAGTAGAGACGGAGTTTCACCGTGTTAGCCGGGATGGTCTCAATCTCCTGACCTTGTGATCTGCCCACTTCAGCCTCCCAAAGTGCTGGGATTACAGGCATGAGCCACCAGGCCTGGCCTGATTATTTTTTATAAATATAACATTAATGACTATAATTAACTAAACCAATCTTAAACACAATAGTGTAGATTCTTAACTCTGTATCTAAAAATGTGACAGTACAATAATAGCAGGTTGAGTTTTGAAAAGGAATTCAGAAATTAGAAATACAATTAATAAATCTAAAAAGATTTGCTTCAAGGAGAATTAGTAAGCTGAATAGAAGACTCTGTATGAACCAAATATATTATTAGAACCCAAACTAGAATTCTGTTAATATTTTGCTGACAGTGTACTGTGTCATGCATTGTCTAAGCACTCCATCTGAATTATTTCACTTACTTCTCATAACAACCAATGCAAAATAGATAAACTTATTTTACAAATTATTTTACAGCAGAAAACTGAGGCTGAAAGAGTTTACTATTTTGTATGGAGTTAGCCAAATAGATAGCACCTTATCCTGGCCCCAAACCAAGGTCTATCTGTCTAGTCTACACCTCTGCCTTCTATTATATTAATGTTAAGAGACGTTTTAAGGCAACTGACTATAGTGTGGGCAAATTGGTAAATAGATGTTGCAATTCTCTTGCCAGCCTTTTCCAATACCACTGTTTGTTTTCCTTTTAAAATTATCTGCATTAAAAATTGTATTAACATTTAGTTTAAAGATATAAAATATAAATAAAATGTTAAAGTTTTTAATGCCAATATATTTTCATGTGGTTCTATGGATTATGTTATTGTAGAACTAATGAGAATAAACAAATGACAAATTACTTTGTAGGTTAATATTATTTCTGTTTTTTTTGACCCAATTAAAAATGTTTAATATATTGTGTAAATTGAGTTCAGCAAGAAAACAACTTGTTTTAACTATCTTTGACCAAGCGTAAATTCTAAGAGTGTTACAAATGTGAGGAAAGTTGTAAACAAATACTGATTATTAATTATTCAAATATTAAGTAATTCAATGCTAAAGGACCTTGACCTATATGTAGTATTAACAAATGCATACAGGAGCAAAGAAAGTAAAATTGAATATTGATATTGTTTGGCTGTGTCCCAACCTAAATCTCAACTTGAATTGTATCTCCTAAAATTCCCACGTTGTTGTGGGAGTGACCCAGGGGAGGTAATTGAATCATGGGGGCTGGTCTTTCCCGTGCTATTCTCATGATAGTGAATAAGTCTCATGACATCTGATGGGTCTATCCGGGGTTTCCACTTTTGCTTCTTCCTCGTCTTCTCTTGCCTCCACCATGTAAGAAGTGCCTTTTCGCCTCCTTGCATGATTCTGAGGCCTCCCCAGCCATGTGGAAATGTAACTCCAATTAAACCTCTTTTTCTTCCCAGTCTTGCATATGTCTTTTTCAGCAGCATGAAAACGGGCTAATACAAATATCAATTTTCTTCTCTTTTTTTTTTTTTTTTTTTTTTTTTGAGACGGAGTCTCACTCTGTCGCCCAGGCTGGAGTGCAGTGGCGCCATCTCGGCTCACTGCAAGCTCCGCCTCCTGGGTTCATGCCATTCTCCAGCCTCAGCCTCCTGAGTAGCTGGGACTACAGGCGCCCGCCACCAGGCCTGGCTAACTTTTTTTGTATTTTTAGTAGAGACAGGGTTTCACCGTGTTAGCCAGGATGGTCTTGATCTCCTGACCTCGTGATCCACCCGCTGCGACCTCCCAAAGTGTTGGGATTACAGGCGTGAGCCACCGCACCTGGCCCAATTTTCTTCCTAATAATATGTTTATCTTAATGTCAGTTAATTTAATAACATTCTACTTTAAAAGATACAGTACAATATTGATCTTGTTGGTTACATTTATCTCCTAAATTAGAGATCCAAATTTTGTTCCTAAGTCAGGATATAGACCACAGATATGTTTTTCTTCTGGCCTAAGTAGTGTTAATAATTATTTGTTTATATTTTGAATTTGGGATTATGCGAGGCACAACAGTGACACTCCAAAGATGTCCATGCCCTAAGCCAAGAACCCATGAATATGCTACATTGTGTAGCAAATGGGACTTTATTCACAAAGTTAAGTGTACAGACCAGATCTTAAAATAAGGAGATTGTCCTAGATCTCCCAGTTGAAGTGGGCCCAATCTAATCACATTAACATTTAAAAATAAAAAATTTTACTTACCTTGAAGGCACACAGATGTGGTATCAGGGAAGGTCTGAGTTATCCAAAGCATTAAAGAGAGATTGAAAGTACCATTGCCCAAGGGAGGTCATATGCAAAGCATGGGAAGGATTGAAGGTAACTTTGAGTAGCAAAGACTATCCCCAGAGAGAAAATAGGGACTTAGTCCTACAACCAACAGGAATTGAATTTTGTAAAACTTGAATGAAATTAGAAGAAAATTCATCCTAGGAGCCTCGAAAAAGGAATATAACTTGCCAATATCTTGATTTCAGACCTGAAAGACTCTCAGCAAAGGACTCAGTCCTGCTGTACCAGGACTTCTGACCTACAGAACTGTGAGATAGTAAAGGAGTGTTATTTTAAACCCCTAAATTTGTGATAATTTATGACAGCAAGGGAAAACTAATGTTGGGTTATCTCTCACAGAAATTCATGTTTCTGCATAGACTTTCTGGTTTGGTTGCACGAGATTGGAGTTAAGTAGTAGCTGTCTCATTTGGTTGGAGCCCAAGACTCTTTTTTACTCATTAACACCTGCCCGCTTTACTCATTTACATAACATACTTTTCCAATTGGCATTTGTATTTTCAACAATTGTTCTCAAATTTAGAAAAGAGACATCGCAAGATGGTGAAATAGGAAGCCCTGGGCCCTCCTTCCCTCCACAAACACACTGATTTGACAACAGTTCATGGACAGATTCCCTTTATAAGAAACCAAGAAACTGTTAAGAGGCTCTTATACCCCAGGTGAGTGCAAAATCATCCACATCAAAGATAGCTGGGAAGTTCAAGACACCTTCTTTCCGTAATTTCTAAACTGGCACAGTACTATATGATTGAGATGAATCTCCCCACATCCAAGCTTCCTGCTGGGGAGGAGAGGAGGTATACCATATGTCCAATGTTCCAACTCCTCTAGGAGCTACCCAGGTAGGAGTGGGTCCAGCTCTGTCCAGGCTGTCTTAAGAGCACTGATGAGGTCTGGTATTCTCTAGTGGCCCAGGACCATAAGAGCAGTGATAGTGCTGTGGGTTGGTGGTTACCATAGCCCCTGTTTTTGGCTTATCACAGAGAAAGTGGATGAAAACTCCCAGATTCTAGGTTCTCCTGGCAGAGGTAATACATTGGACAAAACATCAAGTGACTCAACTTTTCTGGAGGATTCTTGAGGAATTGACTTTGGTATTGCTTTTCTCAGAGTGCTGGTGGACCTGGCACTCTAGACAGGGTCACTAAGAACAAAGAAAGCAGACTTGACTAGCATGAAGGTTTGAGGGGCCCCTATGAATCTCTGGCCAGGCTGATAGGGGAGGGTCTTCTGTGAAGCCAGTTTGTGAACACTAGGACAGGTGGGTGGTTTTTCTAATGCCCAGCCACCAACACAGAGAGTCAAACAAAATAAGAAACAAAATAAATATGTTCCAAACAAAGAACAAATATAAATTTCTAGAAATTGACCTTAGTGAAATGGAGATATATGATGTAGCAGATAGAGAATTAAAAATAACCATCATAAAGATGGTCACTGAGGTCAGGAGGACAATGCATGAATAAAATTAGAATTTCAACAAATAGAAAACTTAAAAAATACTAAGCAGAAATTATGATAAACAAAGAAATCACTAGAGTAATTCAAAAGCAGACTAGATGAAGCAGAAGAAAAGATTAGCAAACTTAAAGACAAGTCATTAGAAATTATTCAGAGGAGAAATAAAAGAAAAAAAAAGAGTAAAGAAATTCAGGGAACTTATGAACAACATTCAGCTTACCAAATACAACCATATAAGACTGCAGAAGGAACAGAGAAAGAAATGACCAGACAGCATATTGAAAGAAATAATGACCCCAAACTTCCCAATTCTGAGGAAGGAAATGAATACAGACATCCAGAAAGCCTAAAGGATCCCAAACAAGAACCCAAATAAGTACATAGTGGACTCGATTATGATCAAACTGTCAAATGTTGAAGACAAAAAGAATTTTGAAAACAGCAAGAGAAAATCATTTTTTTCACATATAAGGGAATCCCCATGAAAACTATCAGCTAGTTGTTCAGCAGAAACCTTGCAGACCAAAAGGCAGTGAAACGATACATTCTGAGTGCTGAAAGAAAAGAAATCAAACCAAAATAAGAAAACTGCAAACAAGAATACTATCCTCAGCAATGCTCTCCCTTAAAAATGAAGAGAGATTTCTCAGGCAAATAAAAGCTAATAAAGTTCATCACTACTAGAGCTGCCCTACAAGAAATGTTAAAGGTTACAGGAGGACAGGGTGGTGGCGGGTGGAGGGAAAAATGTTAAAGAAACTTCTTTTAAAGACAAAACAAAAAGATACTAAAGAGCAATAAAATAGCATAGAAAATAAGAAACGTGGTAAGTTAAATATATACACAAATACAGGATACTATATTACTGTAATAGCGGTGTGTAAATCACTTTTAATTCTAATATAAAAGTTAAAAGACAAAAGTATTAAAACACTATATCAAAAATGTTGATGGATACACAATACAAATAAATGTGCATTGTGACATCAATAACATAAGGTGTCATGAGGGAGAGTAACAGTGTAGGGTTTTTGTATGCAATTGAATTTAAGATGCTATAACCTTAAAATAGACTGTTATAACTGTAAGATATTTTCTATAAGCCCTATGGTAATCACAAAGAAAATATAGAATATACACTAATAGAAAGAGAAAGGAATCAAAATACATCAGTACAAAAAATCAGCAAAGCACGAAGGAAGAAAACGAGAGAGTGACAAAACAACTACAAGATATACAAAAACACTGAAGTAGCAATGGTAAATTTTTATTAATAATTATTTTAAATGTTCATGAAGTCTCCTCAATCAAATAAAGTGGATGAATTCATTAAAAAACAAGATTCAGGCTGGGCATGGTGGCTCACGCCTGTAATCCCAGCACTTTGGGAGGCCGAGGCTGGTGGATCACCTGAGGTCAGGAGTTTGAGACCAACCTGACCAACATGGTGAAGCCCCGTCTCTACTAAAAATACAAAAATTAGCTGGTGTGGTGGTAGGCGCCTGTAATCCCAGCTATTTGGGAGGCTGAGGCAGGAGAATCACTTCAACCTGGGAGGTGGAGGTTGCAGTGAGCCGAGATGGCGCCATTGCACTCCAGCCTGGGCAATGAGCAAAACTCTGTCTCAAAAACAAACAAACAAAAATCACAAGATTCAACTCTATGCTGTCTACAAGTAACTAATTTTAGATTTTAAGACACACACTCTGGTTGTTAAAGGATGGAGAAGATATCCCATGAAATGAGAACAACAACAGCATAAAGGAGCAGAATGGCTATACTTATATCACACAAAACAGATTTTCAATCAAAACTGTCACAATACACAAAGGGAAATATTATATAGTAATAAAAGAAAAAATTTGACAGGAAGACATAATAATAAATAGATATCACCCATCATCAGAGCACCTAAATATGTAAAGAAAACATTGACAGAACTGCAGGTAGAAATATACAGCAATAAAATAATAGTAAGAGAGATTTTAATACCCCACTTTCAATAATGGGTAGAACAGCCAGACAGAAAGTTAACAGATTAATAGCAAACATTAACAACCCTAAAAATAAATGGACCTAACAAACCCATACAGAACATTCCACCCAGAATATACATTCTTTTAAAGCACACATGGAACAGTTTGTAGCAGAGATCACATTTAAGCTCACAGAAAATTCTTAGGGAATTTTAAAAGAATGAAATCATACCAAGTTTCTTTTCTGCCCATAATTGACTGAAACTAGACATCAACGGCAGAAGGAAAACTGAGAAATTCACAAATATGTAAAAACTAAACATCACACTTTTGAACAGCCATGGGGTCAAAGAGGAAATCAAAGGGAAATTAGAAAATATCTTGAGATAAATGAAAATGAAAATACAACTTGCCAAAACTTATGGGTTGTAGCAGTAATAGTACCAAGAATGATACAAGCACAGTATTAATATATATGATATATGCATATATTTAAAACCAAAGAATGATTTCAAATAAAAAATCTAATTTTATGCCTCGAGGAACTAAAAAGTGCAGCAAAAACTAAGGCCAAAATTAGCACATGAGAGAAAATAATAAAGACTAGAGAAGAAACAGACAAATGAGACTAGAGAAACAATAGAAAAATCAATGACACTAAGAGTTGGTTTTTGTTAAAGATAAACAAAATTTAAAAGCCATTAATTAGCCGAGAAAATAAGAGAGAAGATTCAAGTAAATAAAATTAGAAGTGAAAACGGAGACATTACCACAGATGCCTCAGAAATAAAAAGGATCATAAGAGGCTACTATAAATAATTTTATGTCCGCCAACTGGGTAACCTAGAAGTGAATAAATTTTTAGAAACAGGCAACCTACTTAGGCTGAATCATAAAGAAATAAAAAGTCTGAATCAATCTATATTCAATCAGAGGGGATTGAATTGGTAATCAAAAATTTCCCAACAAAAAAAAAGCCCAGAACCAGATAGCTTCACTGGTCAATTTATCAGCATTTAAAGAAGAAATAATTCCAATCCTTCTCCAAGTCTTTCAAAAAACAGAAATAGAAGGAATACTACCGATGTCATTTCATCAGGCCTGCATTACCCTGATACTAAAGTGAGAAAAACGTACCTCAAGAAAACAAAACTTCAGGCCAATATCTCTAATGAATATAGATAGGGAAATCCTCAACAGAATATTAGCAAACTGAATTCAACAGCACTTTAAAAGAACCATACACCATGATCAAGTGGGAATTCTCCCTGGGATGCAAGTATGGTTTAACTCGTGCAAATCAATTAATGTGACGTACCACATTAACAGATTGAAAGAAAAAAAATCACATGATCATTTCAACTGATACAGAAAACCATTTGACAAAAATGAACACCCTTGTATGATTAAAAAGACACTCTGCAAACTATTTATAGATGGAATGTACCTCCACATAATGTAGGCCGTATATGACAAGCCCACATCTAACCTCATAATAAGTGGTGAAAAACTGTAAGCTTTTCCTCTAAGATCAGAAGGCAAGGATACTACCAGAAATTCTAGACAGAGCAATTAGTCAAGAAAAAAAAAAAGAGACATCCAAAAAAAACAAGGAGTAAAATAATTGCTATTCACAGATGACATGATGTAGAAAATTCTAAAACCTCCATAAAAAGTTGTTAGAACTAATAATCCAGAATATTTGCAAGATACGAAATGAGCACACACAATTAGTTGCTTTTCTATAAACTAAGAACAAACTAACTTCTTCAAAAATTAAGAATACAATTCCACTTACCATACCATCAAAATGAATAAAATACTTAGCAAAAATCTAAATGGAGGCAAAGCACTTGTACACAGAAACCACAAAACATTGATGAATGAAATTGAAGACTACACATGCAAACAGAAAGAAATCAGTGTTCATAGATTGGAAGACTTAATATTGTTAAAGTGTTCACATTACACATAGCAATTTACAGATAAAATGTAATTCTTATCAAAACCCCAATGACATTTAAAAAATGGACAATCCTAAAATTTATGTGAAATCAAAAAACCCTAAATATTCAAAACAACCTTGATAATGAAAAACAAAACTGGAAGCATCAGACTTCCTGATTTCAAAATATAGTAGAAATTGCTGGCACGTGGCCCACGTCTGTAATCTCAGCTCTTAAGGAGGCAGAGGCGAGATGATAGCTTGAGCCCAGGTGTTTGATACCTGCCTGGGCAATATAGCAAGACCCATTCTCCACAAAAAGGAATAAAAAAAAGACAAAATGTAGTACAAAGCAATAGTAATTAAAACAGTATGATAATGTCATAAATATAGACACGTGGAAAAATGAAACAGAACACAAAGTCCAGAAATTGATTGCATGTATAGTCAATTGATCTTCAACTTAGGTTCCAAGAATATGCAATAAAGAAAGGATAGTCTCTTCCAAAATGGTGTTGGTTATCCACATAGAAGATAGTGAAATTGGACCCACATCATACACCATAAAAAAACCCTCAAAATTAATTAAAAATGTAAGACTCAAAACTTTAAAACTCCTAGAAATAAATAAAGAAGAAGCTATATGACATTGGTCTTGGCAGTTATTTCATGGATATGACACCAAAAACACAGGCAACAGAAGCAAAGTAGACAAGTTAAACTCGTATAAAATTAAAAAGATATAAACTAAAAGATTCTGTATAGCCAAAGAAACAATGAACAGAGTGAAAAGGCAACCTACAGAATGGAAGAAAATATCTGTAAGCTAGGTATTAGATAAGGTGTTAATTTCCAAAATATATAAGGAAAAACAAAAGCAACAAGAATAACAATCCAATTTTTAAAATGGCTGCTTAAATGATCAGGTAAATGCAAATCAAAATCACAATGAGATCGCTTCACACCTGGTAGGATGGTTTTTTAAAAAAGATGATAAATGTTGGCAAAAATGTGAAGAAATTGGAACTCCTGTACACTCTTGGTCATAAAGCAAAAAGATGCAGTTGCTATGAAAAACAATTCAAAGATTCCTCAAAAATTCAAAATAAAATTATTACGTGGTCCAGCAATCCCACTTCTGGATATTTATCAAAATAATTAAAATCAGTATGTTTAAGTGATATTACCATTCCAATGGTCATTGTAGCACTATTCACAATATCCAAGATGTGGAAACAATCTAAATGTCTATTCATGGATGAATGGATAAAGAAAATATGGTACATACATACAGTGGAGTATTATTCAGCCTTAAAAAGATAAGGAATTCCTTCAATATGTAACAGTGTAGATGAACCTTGAAGTCATTATGCTCAGCATAATAAGCCAGCTATTGGTGGACAAATACTGCACTATGTCACTTATATGAGGTAATTTAGATAGTGAACCACATAAAATCAGAATAGACTGAAGGATGGGGAAATATGGAGTTACTGATCAATGGTCATAAGGTTTCAATTGTACAAGATGAATAAGTTTTAGAGATATGTTGTACAACACTGTGCCTACAGTTAATAATGTGTTATACACTTAAACTTTGTTGAGAGGCAAAGAACTAAAACTAGATCAACTATTTGATCCAGAATCCCATTACTGAGTACCCAAAAGAAGTAGTCATTATATCAAAAAGACACCTGCATACGTATGTGTATCACAGCATAATTTTTGGTCCCAAAGCTATGGAACCAATCTAAGTGCCCATCACCCAAGGAGTAGATAAAGAAAATGTTGTACATATATATCATGGAATACTACTCAGCCATAACAAGAGTGAAATAATGTCTTTTGCAGTGACTTAGATGGAGCTGGGGGCCATTATTCTAAGTGAAGTAACTTGGGGATGATAAACCAAATGCCATGTGTTCTCACTTATAAGTGGGAGCTAAACTATGGGTACACAAAGGCATACAGAGTGGTATAATGGAAATTGGAGACTCAGGGAAGGAGGAAAGGGTGGGGTGTGATTTTTAAAAATCCTACGTATTGTGTACAATGTACAGTACTCGGGTGATGGGTTCAGTAAAATCTCAGACTTCACTAAATAATTCATCCATGTCACCAAAAACCACGTGTATCCCAAAAGCTATTGAAAGAAAAATATATTTATTAAAAAAAACTAAAAATGAGTGAATGCCCACCCCCCAAAAAATTGTTGAGAGGATAGATCTTTTGTTAAGTTCTTGCCACAATAAAATGAGGTTTAAAATTAATTAATTAATTAAAATTTAAAGAAAACCAGAACCCATGATCAACTGGGGATTTTTTTTTATTCCTCCTGCAATGTTCTTGACTTCAGAATTCCTTATTTTGCCACATTAGACCATACTCTGTCCTTCACTTCTATTTCTCTCCTTTTCTTTATTTTTAACAGAGCTCAGTGTACTCAACAAAGTTTGTTGCCGTGGAAACATAAACCTTTCCTTTCACAAGTATTTTTCAAGAATAAATATCATCGTGCAATTCTTCTCTCAAGTTTTTTTCAATGCTGCAGTTTCTATGGCGTTTCCTTCCGCCATGTATTGAACGATGTTGGACAAATGTTGTGACTGCAAATTCCAAGCAAAGGCACTGTTCCAATATTTTAACTTTAATTGTAGTTGTGCCTTATGAGGTCAGGGCCTGAAACTAGGAAGAATAAATAAATACACGTTGTTCTTGGTGTGGAATTATTTAGCACAAGAAAGAAAAAAGTCTAAATAGTGAAACCAACATCTGCCTGGGCTACAGGTTAAATAATCTTTCAGTCCCAAATATGTGGATGCTTCTTGTTCTAGTGACTGAATATATCAACATAGCTTAACCGACAGCTACATGTTCTCTTAGTTCTCCAAGTATCTATTTTATCAGTTTTCACAGCTGAAGTTTAAGATTTATTTGTATACTATTCAAATATTGTCTCTCCCATTAACTACACAATTCTCTGATGGCAGAGTTTCTATAGCTTGATCCCCATTTTATACTAAGCACAAGGTGCCTATATCATCATAAACTTTCAATAATTTTTTATTGAATGAATAAATAAAAGATATATGCTTTAGTTACTATTTATATGCCTAGAATTGTGTGTACAATACATAATTCTGAATCATAACATGACAAAGCATTGAAGATAAAGCATTCACGTGTTCGCACAATTCAGAAATCGTTTGTTTAAGGAGTTGGAAAAAAAAAAAACAACTTGGCCGGGCGTGGTGAAAAAACTTGGCCGGGCGCGGTGGCTCACGCCTGTAATCCCAGCACTTTGGGAGGCTGAGGCGGGCGGATCACGAGGTCAGGACATCGAGACCATCCTGGCTAACACGGTGAAACCCCGTCTCTACTAAAAATACAAAAAAAAAAAAAAAAAAAAAAAAAAAGTCAGGTGTGGTGGCAGGCGCCTATGGTCCCAGCTACTTGGGAGGCTGAGGCAGGATAATAGCGTGAACCCGGGAGGCGGAGCTTGCAGTGAGCCGAATCGCGCCACTGCACTCTGGCCTGAGGGACAGAGTGAGACTCCGTCTCAAAAACAAAAAAACAAAAAACAAAAAGAAAAGAAAAGAAAAAACCCTCAACTTTCCACATTAGAGTAATGTCCCTGCCAGACCCCTGGGTTTGTTCCACATCTTGTTAAATGGAAGCCTGACAGTCTCATGTAAAGGATGCCAGAAACTAAGGGAATAAAAGTAATTGATGATGGGATACAAGCTGTATTGTTGTAGGTGCCAATCATCTGATAGTCCCTGTATTAGTCCGGGTTCCCTAGAGGGACAGAACTAATAGGAGCTGTGTGTGTGTGTGTGTGTGTGTGTGTGTGTGTGTGTGTGTGTGTGTATAAAATTAGGATATATATAAAACCACAATAGGATATATATATAATTACTATATATATATAGTACTTACTATATTTTTAATCTATCTTTATAGTTAATTGTTTATTTCTTATGTAAACCGAAACAGTATCTGAGACAGGTCTCAGTCAATTTAGAAGTTTATTTTGCCAAGGTTAAGGACATGCCTGGAAAAAACAAACAAACAAAAAAACAAACACGAGGCTGGGCACAGTGGCTCATGTCTTTAATCCCAGCACTTTGGGAGGCAGAGGCGGAGGCAGGTAGATTGCCTGAGCTCAGGAGTTCGAGACCAACTTGCATACAGCAACATGTTGAAACCCCGTCTCTACCAAAAATACAAAAAATTAGCCAGATGTGGTGGCACATGTCTGTGGTCCCAGCTACTCAGGAGGCTGAGGTGGGAGGATCGCTTGAGTCTGGGAGGCCAAGGTGAGCTGAGATCACACTATGAGCTGAGATCACACAGTGAGGTGAGATCACACTATGGCACTCCAACCTGGGTGACATAGTGAGACCTTATCTCAAAAAAGAAAAAACAAACAAACAAACAAAAAACAAAAAAACCAACCAACAAACAAAAATCCCAAGGAATCACAGAAACAGTCTGTGGTCTGTGCTTTTCTCCAAAGAGGAATTTGAGGGCTTAAATATTTAAAAGGAAAATTCGGCTGGAGAGAAAAGAGGAAGGATATTGTAATCCATATAATGCATGAGAAAAGGAGTAGGTAGGGGAATAGCCAATAATGTGTTCATCTGGTGCTCAGTAAATCAGCACTTTACATCAGATAAGATGAATATAAAGTAGCTACTAGTGGATATCTTTAACCTTTTATCTGTAGCTATCTGTTTAAGAACACAAGAAAAGGCCGTTTTTTGCATGACCCAGGTTTCAGCTTAATTTCTTTCTTTGTGGCATGTGAATTGGGGTCCCAAGTTTTTATTTTCCTTTCACATTTATCAACACAAAATTAAGATCATTTAGAAGCCCCCCTAGACCAATCCTCAATACTTGTCTATTGCCAATTATTGGCTATCAGGCCAATACTTAACCTTATTGAATGTGATCAACGATGTTTCCAAATTAGTTGATACCTTATTCAGTACTTGTATCATGCTGTGTAAATCTCCATCAATAAATCTGTTCTCACACTAGCAATCATGAAGTCCGAAGAGAAAAGAATGAACCACGGGTTGAATTAATCATTTAATTGTTTGCAGGTTATTTGAAAATGTCACTTGGTATTATCTAAAATAGGAGTAGGAAATTTACATTGTCTGCCTTCTCTCAATATTAGAATTATTAGAAAAATATGGTAAATTTAAATCCTGTTTTTAGAGTAATCCCTGATATAAGTGTCTTTGCAAATGAATAGTTTGTAATTAATATGCATCATTTGAAACATATTCAAGCCATAAATTTTATTTTTTATAAAAATCAGTTGAGAGCAAGAGCTGATGGCAGTACATCTCTGGCTGGTAAAATTCTGCCCTAGGTAGTGATACAATCACAGGTCCAAATGCTAGAAAGTTCTGGAATCCGTATGCAATGAAACTTCCCTGACATACCTCTTTGCCTAGAGTTACTTCTGAGTATAATTAATAAATTAATGTATTGCCAAGACATTTATACAAATTTATTTGTACAAATAAATTTATAGGCAGGCAATGATGAGACGAGAGAAAGAGAATGGAATTTTGAGGAAGAAAGCTGTAATTTGTCAAAACAGCAGAATACCTGCATTATTGTCACCAGTATTAGAATCTTGCCTGTCCATTAGTCTTTTCTCTCTCGTATTGCCTGCCTACTCGATTCATGAGATTTCTAGGGACCTTAGTTCATTTTTATTAAGTATATCTAAAAAGGAAATTGTAACTTCACTGATATTCAGAAAATGAGTAATTTTCATATTGAAAGCATATTATAGAACTCATCCTCTAAATTTATCCTAATTTTAAAGTTAAAGTCATTTTTTTGATTAAGCAGCAATTCTAATTAGAGAAATAAAATGATAAAGAGTATCTTCAAGCTTCACACAGAAATCCCATTGATGGATAACATGCCAATTTGGATGCAAAGAAAATTGTTTTTACTGGTTAACGAAATCCCTAGAGCTGTGTTATTGAGGAAAATACTACAGATTCACAATGGTTCATTGGCTCCAGGGCATCTTGCCATTAGGACTGCTGGTTTGCAGCCAGATGATACAGCCTCACTTTCCTTTTAGTCTTCTCTTACTAAGAAACCATCTTCAGCACTATCATGGAAAATGCTTCCTGGAGTCAAAAATGTTACTACAGACTTTCTGATATCAAATAGGTTACTATGGAATGTACAGAATAAATTAAAATAAATACAGAAGAAGACCAGTTTGGGCCAGTGCGATGGCTCGTGCCTGTAATCCCACCACTTTGGGAAGCCAAAGCGAGTGGATCACCTGAGGTCAGGAGTTTGAGACCAGCCTGGCCAACATGGTGAAACCCCATCTCTACCAAAAATATAAAAATTAGCTGGACATGGTAGTGGGTGCCTGTAATCCCAGCTACTCAGGGGGCTGAGGCAGGAGAATGACTTGAACCTGGGAGGTGGAGGTTGCAGTGAGCCACTGCACTCCAGCTTGGGTGACAGAGCAAGACTCCATCTCAAAACAAACAAACAAACAAACAAACAAAAACAGTTTGGGCTAACTAGAGTCCCTAAACTTTCTCATTTTCTCATTTGAGAATTGCTTTGTCTTTCCTCATTTCCCTTGGGTTCTTTATCCTCTCTAGTTCTTCCTGGCTTTTAATCCTGATTCAGGCTGTGTTCTCCCACAGACTTCATTTTCTAACTTGAGAAAAATTATAGATGTATTATTTCATTCATTCAACGAATATGCCCTGAATGCCTACTACTACATATGGAGTACTCTTGCAGGTGTTTGGGGACAAAGGCCTCGGTTCTCACGAAGTTTACATTCCGATGAGGGGAGACAGATAATAAATAACAAATGTGAAAAAGAAGTAAATTGTATAACATGTTGGAAGGCAATAAAAGTCATGAAAGTAAAAAGGAAAAAGTCAAACAGAGAATAGGGGTTAAGAATGCATAAGGGCAGGGCAGGTTGCAACTTGTGGTGGTTAGGATGATCCTTGAGAAGATGACATGAATAAAGTCATAAAGAGAGTGGGGGATTAGCTTTGTGAAGATAATTCTGGCAGAAGAAGTTGCTGATATGAAGATTTTCAGGTGGGAGTGTGCCTGGTACATTCATATAGCAGGGAGACCCTGTATCTGATGGGGATTGAGGGAGGAGGAGAGGTAAGGAGTGGGGCGAGAGGGAAGTGGGGTTGCTGTAGCTGCGGAGAGGCTACAGGGGCACAGATCACAGGAGGGGCAGAGATCACAGGAGGGGCAGAGATCACAGGAGGGGCACAGATCACAGGAGGGGCACAGATCACATGAGGCCTTGAAGTTCCCTTTGAGGAGTTTGGCTTTGACTCTGTGTGAGGAGGAGCCATGCCTAGCAGGGTTTTGAACTAAGAAGTGCCAGGATCTGACTCATCTTTTCAAAAGACCACTCTAGCAGCTGTGTTGGGAATAATTCTCACCTTGTATTATATTCAGTCTTTTGCCACATTCTGTAACCTGAGTGTTTGTTTGTTTTTGCAGATATCTGTGATCAAGTTCACCTCTAAGCCTTTCACAATAAATGTTATTCTGAACAACATAAATAAAATAGAATTCACAATAAATTGAATTCTATTTTTAAATAGTAAAATTATCATACGATGATAGAAAATAATGTTTTATCTTTTCCAAATCCAAATATAAATTGACTAAGCAAACTTCCTCTGACTACTTACTATCACTCTTATAAATTTGATATGCCTCAGGCAATTTTTGCAGGTTAAACCCTGTTTTTTTTTGTTCTGTTTTGTTTTTTGTTTTTGTTTTTGTTTTACAGCTCGTAAGCAGATCCTACTTAGAATACAGGAGTTAATGAATTCTTAACAGCTTTCTGCAACTTACTCTGAGTATTAGTTTTAATTAGTAATTAAAAAAAAATTTTTGGAGAAGAGTTCATGTAAAAAATTGTATGTGCTCCCAGCTGCTCTTAATACAAATGAAAGTACTATGTTATATAAATCCAATCACTTGGTTTGAAACCCTGAAGCAAAATAAAACATTGATCAATCAAAGTAAGTGGGTCTGTTGACTTGTTCCTTTCCTTGACCAGAAGGCTAATTCGTTTCACTCTTTGTTCCTTCACTCGTTTTAATTTACAGCAGGATTGATACAAAAACTACTTATTTGAGAATATAAGATGACCTAAAATTAGATTGTGATTAACTTATAAGTGTTGATACAACTTCATCAAAGCAGTACTAAATAAAAGTTTCACTTTCTATTGCTGGAAACAGTGTTCTCTGAATTAAATGAAATTACTTAATATTCAAATTAAAGCAAGTTTTATTTTATTGCGCAGTCTACTTAGAAAACTGATTTCTAACCTATAAACGCAATTACATAATGTGTTAAAAGTGCTGGGTGACATTGTCGTATGATCCTGTATCACTACTACATATATTTATGTTTAAAACATCCAGTAATCTTCTCAGAGCTTTCACAGTGTAAGTGAAACTGATCAGCAACTCTGAACTGCAGTAAATTTATTTAAAAAAACAAATGAAAATGGAAAATCATCAAGAAATGCTGAGGATACTAATGTCAGATTTTTCAAAACTTTAGGTATAAAATATGGTCTAATATCTACACAAAATAGATTTTAAACCACTGAATCATGTGAAATAAAGATATAAGTTCAAATCACCAAAGTAATAAGAAAATACATGAACAACAATTTCTCAGTTATGATATTTCAAGTTTCCTCTGCCTTGTGGAATAAACCTGACAAAGAAACCAGAGAAAATGACCATAAAGCCATTTAATTTTGCCAACGGTTTTCCCCAGAAAATTGAACTGATGGGAAAGTTCCCCGACACTCAATGAATTCGTTTAACAAATATTTACCATGTGCCTATTGTATACTAGACACTGTATTAGGAGTTCAATATTCTGGCGGGAAAGAAAGATTAAAAATAAACAGATGAATAATTTAAATAATTGTATATTCTGGTATGAGCCATATCAGATGGCTAATAAAGGACTAGATGGCTAATAAAACTAATAAGGGACTTAGGTTATAAGTAAGAAAAAGTGATTTTTGGAAAGCTTCTCTGTCAAGCCGGCATCAAACAGAACCCTGAAGAATTGAAAGAAACTGATCACATGAAGGAGAGCAGACCAGGCCACAGAGGAAATGGGAAAAGCTTGCCAGGCAGGGCAAGTGGAGTCTGTACAAAACCTCGAAGGGGGAAATGAGATGACTCTATTCCAGGATCTGGAGCTTTTGAAGGAAACTGATCAAGAAGCAGAGCCAGCTGGGGTGAAGGAGGAGAGAGGCCAGTGCTAAATCATAAGGGGTTTTGAAGTGTGTGGTAGACAACATGCACTGGGAATCCTCTGGAAGGCTTTAGTTAGAATAATGACAGTCCTGTTTAGATTTTTATAAGTTTATTCCAACTGTCAGAGAGAGGATATATTGTGGTTAGGGTAAAAAAAGGATGGAAGCTGTCTATTGGAATAACTGGAGAAGAGATGACAGTGACTTTGACTAGAAAGTAGCAGTGATGATGGGGGAATGTTCAGTCACTCAAGACACTTTAGAGGTGTACTACTAGAGCCTGCTCATGGATTAGATTTCAGGAGTGAGTAGGGAAAAATGAGAAACCAGGAATTTCTAGTTGGAGCATCCAGGTGAATTGCAACACTCAGAAAACAGGGTTGAGAGGACACATCAAGTCAGTCTGATTTTGGACAGGAGTGAGGTCAAAAATAGCTGTGAGATATCTAAGTGAAAGGCATACAAAGCTTCACTTCAGAAGAAAAGTTTGGGTTAGATTTGAAAGTGTTATATTACATAACTACTATATATTACAGTGCATACTAATATATATTATAACATTTGTATTATATAACTTTTGAGCTATATATATAACATATTATATAACTTTTGAGCTATATATATAACATATATAACTTGAGCTATATAAATATGTAGCTAAATATATATATAGCTATATATATAGCTCAAAAGTTCTATATATATATTTATATATCAAAAGAAAATAAAACTAATAAAGGACTTAGGCAATAATTAAGAAAAAGCGACTTTTGGAAAGCTTCTCTGTTAAGCTGGCATCAAATGGAACCCTAAAGGATGGAAAGAAACTGGCCTCATGAAGGAGAGCAGACCGGGCCACAGAGGAAATGGGAAAAGCTTGACAGGCAGAGCAAGTGGAGACTTGCTAAATATAGACTCAATATATATACAGGCATCCTTGGTGGAGGACTAAGTTAAAATTTGCTTATATAATTTTGCTTCCTAGGAGTGGTTTCTAGCTCCTTCCTAATCAGACCTGACCCCTCTTGCAGTCCCAGCCTCTCTCTAGTGGATCACAGGACACCTTCTCCATTCCCCTTTGGAGCTGTGACTGATTCCTTTTTTACAGTAATATTTAGTTATTTTCTTTCTTTAACCTTCAGAGACAGTGATTGTGTTGAAATGTCTTGCCATTCTCCAACAATATAATAAAACTGTGAAAAGGTCTTTAAGGAATATTTATTGTAATGATTCTCCCACCCCCCATCTATATATTTTTATAGGTAAGATAAAAAGAAAAGAGAAAAAGTTTCCTCAAGTTCTAACAACTGGGAAAAGTCAAGTAGGGTCTTAAATTCAAGTCAACTAATACCAGATTCTCTGTTTTTTAAACCATCAGAATTCTCTTTATTCAGTTCTTATGTCTGAAATAGCCTTGCACAAATTAACTTAAAGTAGGGGTAATGTTATATTGAAGCTGAGATCATCAAAAACATTTGATTTTATAAGCTCTGCTATAAATTACATCCCTCTTAACTTCTGTATAGGTAAAAGATGTTTTTAGAATTTAAATAATATCATAATAATTTGAAGCTAGAAGTATTTTAGAAATCAATCCTAATTGAGGCCCAAAGAATTTATGTATCTTTTCCAAGGTCATGCAACTTGCTGGAAGAAATGTCCAGGCAGGAAACAAGTTTCTCTAAGGTTTTCTCTAGAGCTTTCCTCATCATCCTTTTAAAGTAATAAGCACTGTCTAGTGCAAGGTAACTTTTGTCATGCTACTCTGCATAAATTACTGGTGATTCCCTGTCATTTGTTTAGTACTATTTTATCCATGATTTCAGAATATGAATTTTCTTTTCAGTTGATATCTTGATAGGTGATTTTCCGAGTTCATTTAGAATAAGTTGCTCCTTCTGCTGAAACGCAAATAACCTCTATGCATTACCCTGTTAAAAAATAATTTAGGATTTAGTTACTAAACACTTGCTCTATGGCCAGGTTGAATAAGAAGAGTACTAAACACAGGCTCCTTTACAAAGTGCTCTTCCCGATGATAAAAGAACATATAGAGAAAAATAATATGAAAGGGTTTAGTCAGTTGTTAAAATCTTTGATACAGATTATAAGTAGTAGAGTAGATCAGAGAAGAGTTAGATTAATACGAACTAATTAAGACATCAAAAAATCAGAACAAATCGGTTTTAAGAGTGGTACTTTTGGGAAAAAAAGGAGGTGATGATCCTTATAAATTTACATTTTCAGATTTAATTGTCATGATTTTTAAAAAATACTTAAATGATTGGTCCACTATGTTGAGTATCTGTCTATCACATTTCAGTGATTCCGGGTGGTTTAAATATTATCAGACCACATGTCTAATACGTATAGCTCGGTTTACTCATCAAAAATTAAATGAAGATAGCTAATTTAAATACTACCAAATCTAAAATGAAAACTGGAAAGTTTCTAATGTCATGTGTAATTAGGCACCTCTCTCACGAATCATTAAATCTTTAAATCTCTGTTTCATCCAAGCCTGATCTGATTTTGAAGCTAGATTCCTATTGGGCTGTCTGCCACTTGTCAGAAGTTGGCCTCTACAAGTGTTTTCCCTCTTTCCACCTGTTAAAGACAGTGAGGCATAATGGGAAGTGTGCCTGTTGGAAACTAGTGGGTTTTAATCCAGGCTAAATCACTAACTTGCTGTATGATGGGGGCAAATCTCAGCATTTTATAACATGTTATAAAATGAGGGATTCTATTAAATGTTTCTTTAAAATATTTGCATATCTGAAGGTCCATATCTCTCTTTCCATCTGCACAACTCTACCGCTTTAATTGCTTAATTAAAAACAAAAACAAAAATGTATTTGTGAGCTCTTATCCTTTCTCTCTTTTAGGAATTTGATTAGCACCTATAGGAATTTGTTCCCTAGCAACAGTTCAGCACATCCATGAGTTTCAGAAAACTTTAGATAATGAAGCTTATATGTTTCCACAAAATGTAACATCCAAAAGCAATATTTAAATATAATTTATCAAAGTTTTAAAAATAGATTCATGATTATTTTTGAGATAAGTGGATGTAAAAGCAGTGGACCAGAAGCATTCTATTTAGTGGAGAGATTATGACAGATATAGAGATCAGTAAGAAGTCTGACCTGAATGAAGAAAGTGCTTGTGCTGGGCATATAGTATCTGTGTGTGTGTGTGTGTGTGTGTGTGTGTGTGTATATCTACGTGTATATATACATATATGTATGTGTATATCTACGTGTATATATACATATATGTATGTGTATATCTACGTGTATATATACATATATGTATGTGTATATACACGTGTATACACATATATACCTATATATATGTGTATACACGTGTATACACATATATACCTATATGTGTGTACCCACACATATATACCTATATGTGTGTACCCACACATATATACCTATATGTGTGTACCCACACATATATACCTATATGTGTGTACCCACACATATATACCTATATGTGTGTACCCACACATATATACCTATATGTGTGTACCCACACATATATACCTATATGTGTGTACCCACACATATATACCTATATGTGTGTACCCACACATATATACCTATATGTGTGTACCCACACATATATACCTATATGTGTGTACCCACACATATATACCTATATGTGTGTACCCACACATATATACCTATATGTGTGTACCCACACATATATACCTATATGTGTGTACCCACACATATATACCTATATGTGTGTACCCACACATATATACCTATATGTGTGTACCCACACATATATACCTATATGTGTGTACCCACACATATATACCTATATGTGTGTACCCACACATATATACCTATATGTGTGTACCCACACATATATACCTATATGTGTGTACCCACACATATATACCTATATGTGTGTACCCACACATATATACCTATATGTGTGTACCCACACATATATACCTACATGTATATATATGTATATATGTATATACACATACACATATATACACACATATATACGTGTATATATATACACAAATACACATATATACACACATATATATACTTATATATACATGAAGTCTTGAAACTTCTAAATTCTGTTGGAGGGGGTGGCTACATGAATCTGTATATGAGATAAAATTTCATAGACACACACACACACACAAGCACATGCAAAAATGAATGAAATCCAAATGAAGTCTGTAGTTAATAGTATTTTATCAATGCCAGTTTCCTGGTTTTGATGATGTAATATGGTGAGGTAAGATGTTAATACTGCAGAAGCTGAGTGAAAGTTATATGGGAACTCTCAGTGCTGTATTTACAACTTCTTATGAGTCTAAAATTATTCTAACATGAAAAGTTTTTAAAGGAACTTGAGTGCCAGATAGAAGAATTTTACTTTCAATGTGCCTTCAATAGACTTGACTAGAATTAATTTAATTCCAATACCTTCTATATCCTTTTAGTTATTTTATACCCACTACATGTTTTTTAGGGTAACGAGCCATTAGAACTGAGATCCTAGGATCTGAATCTGATATTGGCTCACCTTCTTCTTCTGTCCCCAAGTGCTTGTTGGATATCTACTATGTGGTTGTATGCAATCAAACAGGAAAGGTTTTGTAGTCAGATGGTTTAGAATTAACTCCTGATTTGACTGTGCCTCAGGTTTTTCATTTGGAAAAATAGATATAAAATATCCATCTCACAGGGCTATTGTGTGAATTAAATAAGGTACTACATATAAAATCCTCTAGGGAAAGTGATTGGCATATAATAAGCTCATATGACAATGAGTGAGAAAATGTGATGCATTTAAAGGAACAAAGCATGAAGCTTTCACTCTCAGGGCTTTTACCTGGGTTCGGGAACCAGGCTAAACCTCATCATGCAATTAAGTGCTAAACCCTATGCTGCTACTGATGATGAACATAATAAAAAAAACAGAAAAATGAAACCAGCCCGGCATGGTGGCTCACGCCTGTAATCCCAGCACTTTGGGAGGCTGATGTGGGTGGATCACCTGAGGTCCCGACTTCGAGACCAGCCTGGCCAACATGGTGAAACCCCGTCTCTACTAAAAATACAAAAATTAGCTGGGCGTAGTGGCAGGTGCCTGTAATCCCAGCTAGTCAGGAGGCTGAGGCAGGAGAATGGCTTGAACCTGGGAGGCCGATATTGCAGTGAGCCGAGGTGGTGCCATTTGCACTCCAGCTTGGGCAACAAGAGCGAAATTTGTCTCAAAAAAAAAAAAAAAAATGAAATCAATGCAGCTAGAGTGATCAGGGAAGGTGTTATGGAGGAGACTGGATTCAGAAAATATTATAAATTATTGGTAAGAAAACAGATTTCAATCCATTATTTAAATCATGCTATTATATTAGAGATAATATTATTTATAAAGTACTTTAAGTATTCTGCTTGTTAAAGTCACTCTATATAAACAGCACTATTGTTGTATCCACAAACTATCATTCAGTCCTAAACATCTGAAATAAATTTTTGCTGGAGGTACCAAGGTTAGTTGCAGGAAATCAAGCAAATGATAATAAAATGTGTAATAAATGCTTGAAGACAGAGATTCCTATTTTGAGCAGTGATAGTATTTTTCTAACACCAGAATATTTATTTATGAAGTTATTTTTTGTAAGGGAAAGTTGATGTGCCTCACTTTGCTTATGTGGTTTTTTGAACTTGTAATTAATAAAAAAAATACTTTCAATTGTCCCTTTTGCCTTTGATAAGTTTAGGCAGCTATAATTATATGAAGAGGAAATTCATTTTTCGCTTTCAATAGATTTCATCCTCATTATGTGGCTGTTAATGAGATTTACATTTTATTTAAATCAACAATTATTTTTTCAAGGAAAGATTCAATTTTTGTAAGCAAACATGTAGTATTAAAACTGCTTAGTGTGGATCCAAGTATCCCAGTTTCTTTGCTTTTCCTATATAAACTGTCCAAGGCAAAAAATGAACTATGCTTTGTCATGGAAAGGGGATATAAAGTAATTCATCCTCTGCAGCTGTTGAATTTAGCAATAACTCACATTCACAAATGAGATGATCAACTTCATCTGCTGACTTTTATAATAATATTCTCCAGCTCTATGAAAAACACATTGTGAGCAAGATTTTATTTTCAAAAGACGTGAATGGATATTTTACAATGGCAATAAAATAATTTTTTATTGTATAAATTTGCTTTTATTATGCCATGGTGCTTCCACTGATATTCTTTTCCTTCTCAGATTACCATACTGAAAATTTCTATAGATGTATCTTAATAGCTATATTTTTACTGAACTCCCTTTTTTTAAAAACAAAATGCCAGACACTGTGATAAGTACATCATATCTTGTTCCAGGTCAAACAAATAGTAAATAATGCAACTAGAAAATTTGCATTAATACTTAAATTATTAATCCATGATGATTATTATTCAATTTTTTCAATGAAAATAGTTAAATAATTCTATTTTCTTTAAGACCAAAACTAAAACTTTTCAGAGGTACAATTTATAGATATTTGTGTTTTTAACACAGTTTAAATACATATTGAAAGATAATTGCAATCACATTTTGTCAAAGAATATTAAAAGAGGGTGAATACTACAATGTATTTAATTCTACACTATTCTACACTTTCTTATTTTAAGAAGATTTATTTTTATTTTTTTAAAAGTAACATGTGTTTAATAATGTATTCATTGTAGAAAAGGTGAAGAAATAGAAGAAAAAGAGCACAGTAGAATTATCTTAAAATTTGGCACATTTCTGCCTTTTATTTTCTCTCCTTTCCTTGATTCTTTCCTTCTTGTCGTTTAACAATACACTAAGATACTATTGCATACCAGTGACGCTGCTAAGAGTTGGGAGTTCCAGAAGTAACAAGTCAGAAGTAACCCTTTTCCTCATGAATGGCAGAGATGTTACACATTTTTTTTAGTTTTACATTTAATTTTTTCTATAACTTGTTTGGCATATATTCTATTATTTTTATGTTATTAAGTAATTCTTCCCCTTCTAATTTATTTTTCTTGATCTTTATGTATTAAAGTACTGTGCCACTCTAATAGTTGATAAGTTATATACTAATGGTTTCTACTTTTCATATCAGGGCTTAATTTGTTTTCTTTTAATTCCACATTCATTTATTTTACTGCATTTAAGTCTTTAAAACACTTAGAATTCATGTGCGTGTATTTGTGTAAGAGAGAAAAAATTCCAACTTAGTTTTCTTCTAGATGATTGGTTATTTCAGCATTATTTGGTTTTGGATATTTTATAAGAATGTATTACATATTATTTGTAACATTTTCAAGCATATCAACAAGGACAAAGAAAGCTAAAAAAATAGAAAACCTCACTAGCTAGAAATTACCTTCACAGGAATAACGAATATTGTTCTAGTCATTTCTCCTTGGATACGTACAGACTTGCAGACATAAGATGGAAGGAAGAAAGTAAAGGAGCAAAGAAAAAGAAGTGAAGAAAACTATAAGAAGAAAAAGAAGCAAACTTTTTTGTTTTGTGTTGTTTTTGAAAGAGTGTTACTCTGTTGTCCACCCTCACTGCAACCTCTTCCTCCCAAGTTCAAGGGATTTTCCCACCTCAGCCTCCCAAGTAGCTGGAATTACAGTCATGCACCACCCCGCCCAGTTAATTCTTTTTGGTATTTCTCTAGAGACAGGGTTTCATTATGTTAGCCTTGAATTCATGATCTCAAGTGATCCATCCATCTAGGCCTCCAAAAGTTGATGGGTGCAGCACACCAACATGGCATATGTATACATATGTAACAAACCTGCATGTTGTGCACATGTACCCTAAAACTTAAAGTATAATGATTAAAAAAAGAAACTTTTTAAAATGACATTGCGTTATAATGCCATATTTTTAAAAGAAAATTTAATTGTAATTTAATTCTTTAAAAAGGAATGTGATAGGCTGGGCATGGTGGCTCATACCTGTAATCCCAGCACTTTGGGAGGCTGAGGCGGGCGGATCTTGAGGTCAAGAGATCGAGACCATCCTGGCCAACATTGTGAAACCCCGTCTCTACTAAAAATACAAAAATTAGCTGGGTGTGGTAGCGCACGCCTGTAGTCCCAGCTACTCAGGAGGCTGACGCAGGAATTGCTTGAACCCAGGAGGCGGAAGTTGCAGTGAGCCGAGATTGCGTCACTGCACTCCAGCCTGTCGACAGAGCAAGACTCCATCACACACAAAATAAATAAATAGAATGTGATGAACTGAAATAAATATGTATTAATTAATGATAATAATTAGTTTCTATATCATTCAGGGTTCTCCACAAAAACAGAACCAATAGAATGGTAAAAGTAAGAGAAAGAGAGAGGGAAAGAGAGAGAGAGAAAGAAAGAGAGAAAGAAAAGCAAAAGAAAAAAATGAAAGAAAAAAGAAAGAGAGAGAAAGAAAAGAAAGAAAAAGAAAAAAAGAGAAAGAAGAAAGAGAAAGTGCACAAGCACATGAGCTAGGTAGACTAATTCAAAAAATTGTCTAATGCAATCATAAGTGCTGACAAGCACTTGGCCAAAGCCTATGTCTGAAATGGTATTTCCTATATTTTCTTCTAGAGTTTTCATAGTTTTAGGATTTACATTTAAGTCTTTAATCCATCTTGAATTGATTTTTGTATATGGTGAAAGGGAGTCCAGTTTCAATTTTCTGCATATGGCTAGCCAGTTATCCCAGCACCATTTATTGAATAAGGAGTCCTTTCCCCATTGCTTATTATTGTAGACTTTGTCAAAGATCTGATATTTGTAGGTATGTGCCTTTATTCCTGGGTTCTCTACTCTGTTCCGTTGTTCTATGTGTCTGATTGTGTACCAGTACCATGCTGTGTTGGTTACTGTATTAGTCTGTTCTCACACTGCTCAGAAATACATACCTGAAACTGGGTAATCTGTAAAGAAAAAAGAGGTTTAATGGACTCACAGTTCTACATAGCTGGGGAGGCCTCAGAATCATGGTGGAAGGAAAAAGGTATGTCTTATATGGTGGCAGACACGAGAGAATGAGAACCAAGTGAAAGCGGATTCCCCTTATAAAACCATCAGATCTCATAAGACTTATTCACTACCATGAGAACTTTATGGGGGAAACTGCCCCCATGATTCAAATATCTGCAATCGGGTTCCTCCCACAACATGTGTGAGTTATGGGAGCTACAATTCAAGATGAGATTTGGGTGGGGACACAGCCAAACTGTATCAGTTACTGTAGCCTAGTGGTATTAATTTGAAGTTGGGTAGTGTGATGCCTCTGGCTTTATTATTCCTGCTTAGGATTGCTAAGCTATTCAGGTTCTTTTGTAGTTCCATATGAATTTGAGAATAGTTTTCCTAGTCATGTGAAAAATGACTTTGATAGTTTGATAAGAATAGCATTGAATCTGTACATTGCTTTAGGCAGTATGGCCATTTTAACAATATTATTTTTTCCTATCCATGAGCATGGAATGTTTTTCCATTTGTTTGTGTCATCTCTGATTTCTTTGAGTAGCGTTTTATAATTCTTGCTGTAGAGATCTGATATCTCCCTGGTTAGCTGTATTACTAAGTATTTTATTCTTGTGGCTATTGCAAAAGGGATTGTGTTCTTGATTTGGCTCTCAGCTTGGATGTTGCTGGTATATAGAGATGCTACTAATTTTTCTACATATATTTTGTATCCTGAAACTTTGCTAAAGCTGTTTATCAGATTTAGAAGCTTTTGGGCAAAAATTATGTGTTTTCTAAGTATAGAATTATATAATCTACAAAGAGAGTTATTTTGACTTCCTCTCTTCCTATTCGGATGCCTTTTATTTCTTTCTCTCTTGCCTGATTGCTCTTCTTGGGACTTCCAGTACTATGCTGAATAGAAGTGGTGAAAGTGACCATCCTTCTCTTGTTCTGGTTTTCAAAGGGAATGCTTCCAGCTGTTCCCTGCTCAGCATTATGCTGTAGCTCTGTCATAGATGACTCGTATTATTTTGAGGAATGTTCCTATGATGCCTAGATTTTTTGGGGTTTTTAAAATGAAGGGATGTGGAATTTTATCAAAAGACTTTTCTGCCTCAGCTGAGATGATCATGTAGTTTTTGCTTTTAGTTCTGTTTTTGTGATGAATCACATTTATTGTTTTCTATATGTTGAACCAACCTTTCATTTCAGGAATAAAGCCTATTTAATCATGTTTGATTGCTTTTTTATGTGCGCTAGATTTGTTTTGCTAGTATTTTGTTGAGGATATTTGCATCTATGTTAATCAGGGATATTAACCTAACATTTTCTCTTTTTATTGTGTCTCTGCCAAGTTTTGGCATCAAAATAATGCTGTCCTCATAGAATGAGTTTCAGAAGATATTTGCAAGAGTTTCAGTAGTATTGGTACTAGCTCTTTATACATCTAGTAGAACTTGGTTACGAATCCGTCTGGTCCAGGGCCTTTTCTGGTTGGTAGGGCTTTTTTTTTTAAATTACTCATTCTATTTCATAACATGTTATTGGTCTGGTCAGGGATTGAATTTCTTCCTGGTTCAGTCTTGGGAGCTTGTATGTTTTCAGAAATTTATCCATTTCTTCTAGGTTTTCTAGTTTGTGTGCATAGAAGTGTTTATAATAGTCTCTCAGGGTTTGTTGTTGTTTGTTTTGTATTTCTGTGGGGTTAGTGGTAATGGGGTTTGTATTTCTGTGGGGTTAGTGGTCACCTTTGTAATTTCTGATTGTGTTTATTTGGATCTTCTTTTTTCTTTATTGCTCTAGCTAGCAGTCTATCAATCTTATTTATTCTTTCAAAAAACAAAATTTGGTTTTGTTGATCTTTTGTATGGATTTTCACGTCTCCATTTCATTCAGTTCTGCTCTGATTTTGGTTATTTTTTTCTCCTGCTAGCTTTGGGGCTGTTTTTTTCTTTCTTTTTTTTTTTTTTTTTTTGAGATGGAGTCTCGCTCTGTCGCCCAGGCTGGAGTGCAGTGGCGCGATCTCGGCTCACTGCAAGCTCCGCCTCCCGGGTTCACGCCATTCTCCTGCCTCAGCCTCCCGAGTAGCTGGGACTACAGGCGCCCACCACCACGCCCGGCTAATTTTTTGTATTTTTAGTAGAGGCGGGGTTTCACCGTGTTAGCCAAGATGGTCTCGATCTCCTGACCTCATGATCCGCCCGCCTCTGCCTCCCAAAGTGCTGGGATTACAGGCGTGAGCCACCGCGCCCGGCCTGTTTTTTTCTCTTGTGTTTTTAATTACTCTAGGTATAATGTTAGTTTGTTAATTTGAGATCTTTCTAACTTTTTGATGTAGGTGTTTAGAGTTATAAACTTTTCTCTTACCGCTGCTTTAGTTGTGTCCCAGAGATTCTGTTATGTTGCATCTTTGTTTCAAATAATTTATTGACTTCTGTCTTAATTTTATTTTTTACCCAAAAGTCATTCAGGAGTACATTGTTTAATTTCCACATAATTGTATGATTTCAAAAGATCTTCTTTGTATTGATTTCTATTTTTATTGTGCTGTGGTCCCAGAGTGTGGTTGGTGTGATTTTAGGTTTTTTGAATTTGCTGAGAATTGCTTTATGGCTGAGCATGTGTTCGATCTTAGAGTATGTACCATATGCAGATTGTGAGAAACACACTTATCCATCCAAACACAAAGAATGGACTTAGAAGCAAGAAGAACAGTGAAAGTGAGACTTTTTAATAACGGTCTTGCAAGATTGAATGTCCGGTGAGCACATCTGGGGCAGTCACAACAGGCACTTTATCTTCTAGCACTCGAGTCCCTCCCCCAATTCCTCATTGTCAAGTAGTATGGGGTTACAATCTTCCCAGACAAGCAAATACTAAGGCGTTTATATTTTATTACCCCCCTTATAAGGTTATGCCGCATCCCCTTCCCCACTTAAATTTCAATTTCCCAATTATGAAACTTTTTCCCCTTTTATGGGCTGACCCCTCCTCTGCATTCTGTTCGCTTATTGTGACCTTCTAGGTGCATGAGCTGTGCAGTTTGTTACATTTGCAGGATAGCTGCCAGTCCTTAAATTTATTATGCCTTGAAAATGGACCATTTAAAATATTTTCTCACACAGATGAGAAGAATGTATATTCTGTTCTTGTTCAGTGGACTATTCTGTAGATGTCTGCTAAGTTCATCTGGTCATGTGTCAACTTTAGGTCCCAAATATCTTTGTTAGTTTTCTGCCTTGTTGAACTATCTAACACTGTCAACAGAGTGTGGAAGTCTCTCACTATTATTGTGTGGTAATCTAAATCTCTTTGTACATCTCTAACAACTTGTTTAATCAATCTGGATGCTCCAGTCTTGAGTGCATGTATATTTAGAATACTTAAGTGTTCTTGTTGAATTGAAATCTTTATCATTATGCAGTGCCCTTCTTTGTATTTTTTTTTATCATTGTTGGTTTAAAGTTTGTTTTGACTGAAATAAGAATAACAGCCTGTGCTCTCTTTTGTTTTCTATTTGCTGGATAGGTCTTTCTCTATCCCTTTACTTTGAGCCTGTGGATATCATTGCATGTAAGATGGGTCTCTGAAGAATGCATACAGTTGAGTCTTCGTTCTTTATACAATTTGCCAGCTGTGCCTTTTAAGTTGGGTATTTATTCCATTAACATTCAAGATTAAAATTGATATATGAGGATTTGATACTGTCATCATGTTGTTAGCTAGTTTTTATGTAGATTTGATTATATAGTTGCTTTATGATGTCAGTGGGCTATATACTTAAGTGTGTTTTGATAGTGGCAAATAATGGTCATTTGTTTTCATATTTATAAGCCCCTTAAGGACTTCTTATAATATAGGTCTGCTAGTAATGAATTCCCTTAGCGTTTGCTTGTCTGAAAATCATTTCATTTCTCCTTTGCTTATGAAGCTTAGTTTGGCTGGATATGGAATTCTCGGTTGAAATTTCTTTTCTTTAAGTATGTCAAATACAGGCCCCCAGTCTCTTCTGGCTTTTAAGGTTTCTGTGGAAAGGTCTCTTGTTAGGCTGTTGAGATTTTCTTTCTCTATAAGTTGTCCCTTCTCTCTAGCTGCCTTAAATATATATTTTTTAAATTTTGTGTTGACCTCCGAGAATCTGATGGCTGTATGACTGGGGGATGTTCATCTGATGTAATATCTCACCGAGGTACTGAATTTCCTGAATTTGCATGTTCACCTTTCTAAAGAGGTTGAGGTAACATTTGTGGACATCGTCTTCAAATAGGTTTTTTGAGGTGCTTGCTCTCTCTCCCTGTCTTTCCGGAATACCAGTGAATCATAGGTTTGGTTTCTTTATATAATCCCCATTTACTCTGAGGATTTTTTCATTTTTAAAATTTTTTCTTTATTTTTGTCTGAGTTGATTCTAAGAACCAGTCTTCAAGCTCTGATATTTTTTTCTGCAGTTTGGTCTATTTTGCTGTTAATACTTCCAATTATATTATAAAATTCTTGTTTGGTTCTTTCTTAAAGAGCCTATTTTGTTTTTCATCTCTTTCATCATTTTATTTAATTCTCTAGATTCCTTAGATTGGGTTTCAATACCTGAATCTTGATGATCTTTGTTGCCATCTAGATTCTGAATTCTACATCTGTCTTTTCAGCCATTTCAGTCTGCTTAAGAACCACTGCTGGGGAGCTAGTGCAATTGTTTGGAGGTAAGAAGACACTTTGGCTTTTAGGGTTGCCAGAGTTATTACACTGGTTTCTTCTTATCTGTGCGGGCTGATGCTCATTTAATGTTTGAAGTTGCTGTCTTTTGCATGGGGATTTTTGCTTTTATACAATTTGATGCTCCTTAGGGTTTGACAGTGGTATAAGATGGGTTCAGTCAGTTTACTTTGTTTCTGGATAATTTCAGGGGACCAAGGCTCAGCTCAGGAATCCTGGGCTTCATGCTGAGATGAGGCCCATCCACAGCTTTTTTCTCTGGCCCCTTAAGGTTAAGTACCTGCTATGCTGGAGTGGCCAAGGTGTTCTCAGTCAACTGGCAATGACACTCTGATGATGGGTGTTGGCAAAAACACTTTAGCGGCAGGGCACTGGGTGGTAGGGGTCCCCATGTATGCATGCTGCTAGCAGTGGGCACTAGTAGGTCCTGTGTGCACATGTGGCTGAAGCAGTGAGGGGAGGCTGTGGGCAAGCACATACCAATGGGTTAGGGCTTTGAGTATGTGCTCGCTGACTGGGGCTTGCCTGCAGAAGTGCTCCAACTGTTAGGTGGGGTCTGCTGACAAGAAAGCTATGGTGGTGCCTGCTGGCAAGTGCCTCACCTTGGTAGCTGAAGCTACACTGCCAGTGGGTGTGGCCAGGCAGGGACCCTGGGATAGACTGGCAGATCGGGGGTGCTCAGATCAGACTGGACCTGTGTCACAGGCAGGATAACCCTGCTCTATCCAGGTTCAGCGGACAACAAAGGTCAAGCCACCTAGAGCAGCATGGTGAGCACTGGGGGACCAGAAATCATGACTGTGCTCCACTGCATCTATTCCCACACCAAACTTTCTGGGCTTCATGCAGGCTGGAGTTTTGTTTCTGTCAACTCTGGAGGAAGATCCCCCTGCCAACTCAAATCTCCTTTGGAGTGGTGGGGTCTCCTGCAGCTAGGATTCTGGAGGTCCATGGTGAGAGTGAACCATTCCACGCCTATTTCACTTATCTCTTCCCCAGGAGCTGCTCGTGGCCTGGAATGTGTCCTGGCGCTTATCAGCCTCATTCAGAGTTCCCAGCTTCCTCCTCTTTAAGCCTGGGATCTGCATTCGTCCTCTGTCCACTCTCAATGCCTTCTTTTTAAAGATCTGTTCAAAGTGTGCCGGCCTACTTGATGGTTTGTTCTCTCTCGATGGAAGAAGTTCTTCCTGGCTGCATCTAGTTGGCCAACTTGGCTCCCTCTCTAGTTACAGGCTTAAAATAAAAGAAATTAATTTTCCTGAAGATCTGAAAACTAGAACCCTGAAATCCATTGAGGCTGCACTCTCTCCAGGGTGCATAGAGGAGAATCTGTTCCTTGCCTCTTCCAGATTCTGGTAGCTGCTTCAACATTCCTAGGCTTGTGGTTATATTACTATAATCTTTGCCTACATCTTCATATAACCTTCTTCTCTTTATGTCTGTTTGAAATCTTCTATTTCGGGGCCAGTTGCGGTGGCTCATGCCTGTAATCCCAGCATTTTGGGAGGCCGAGGAGGGAGGATCACTTGAGGTCAGGTGTTTGAGACCAGCGGGCTCCTGTAATCCTAGCTATTCAAGAGGCTGAGGCAGGAGAATTGCTTGAACCCGGGAGGCGGAGGCTGCAGTGAGGTAAGATTGCGCCATGCACTCCAGCCTGGGCGACACAGTGAGACTCTGTCTCAAAATAAATAAATAAATAAAAGCATCTTCTGTTTCAATTTTACAAGGACACTTAGGATGGCATCCAGAGCCCCTCTGGAAAGTCCAGGTTAACTTTTTCATCTCAAAATTATTAATTTGGTCAAATCTGCAAACACTTTTTTCCCAGACAAAGTAACTTTTACAAGTTCTAGGAATTAGAAATTGATGTCTTTGGGTGACCATTATTCAACCTACTACACACATTAATTCACTTTATTCTGGCATTGAGTGTTGCCATAGAATAGTTTGAAGTAAATCAGTTTTTTCTTAGCACATTACTCAGTTTTCTTGCATAGGCATATATTAGATTCATTCCTTATTTTTGAAGTTTAATAATGTTATTTCAGTATATCACTAGAAGGTCTTATCAATATACAGGTGGCTCTCTTAATCTAAATTTCAAATTATTTTTTCTGATTTGAAGGAGAATTTTATTATATCCTGAATATTTCTCTCTCTTTCTTTTCTTTTTTTTCTTTCTTTTTTTTTTTTTTTGACAGAGTCTCACTCTGTAACCCAGGCTGGAGTGCAGTGGCACGATCTTAGCTCACCGCAATCTCTGCCTCCTCGGTTCAAGCGATTCTCCTGCCTCAGCTTCCCAAGTAGCTGGGATTACAGGCATGCGCCACCACGCCGGCTAATTTTTGTATTTTTAGTACAGATGGGGTTTTGCGATGTTGGCCAGGCTGGTCTCGAACTGTTGATCTCAGGGTATCTGCCCTCCTTGGTCTCCCAAAGTGCTAGGATTACAGGCATGAGCCACCGTGCCCGGCCCGTATATCCTGAGTATTTCTTATTTGCATTTTTGACTCTTCTTCAGATATACTTTACATGTTCCTCATAATTGTTACTTTCTCTGTGCATTTTCATGCTTTCATCTTGTGGCAGCTTATTATTATTTACTCTTTAAGAAGACTTACTACTTGCTAAAGGTTAAAACGAGGAAGAAAGGCAAACTAGAGTAGTCTATAACTCTAACATAGGTCTGTTGCCTTGTAAAAATTCTCATGAAATCTGCTAATTTTATTATATTTCCCCTAAGATTTTGTTTTTCACTTAAAATATTTGAAAGATCCCTCGTCTACCTATATTCAGTCTCAGACAACACTTTCTATTTCTCCTTGATCTACTTTACTTCTCCTAGGAAACTTGGTGTAGAGCAGGGTTTTCTAAAATTGTGCTATTCCTTTGTTACCGTTGGAATTTTTTTGCCACATAAATATTGTATTTGTATTATTTACATATTTTTCTTTAGAGCAACTCACTTCTGTTATTTGAATCATTTTATCTAAGGAGGAGACCTTGTATTAAAATGGTTGGTTAAACACTAGGCTCACTTACCGTAAGTAGTAACAGTAAAATAAAAGGGTGAAAACACACATTTCTTCTAAAGGCCTACTATTTGTGAGAAGATGAGTTTGGCATATTGTAATGAGATGGCAAAGAAATACTATTATAAAACAAAGACCATCTTGGAACCTTCTCAGAAGGATTAAAAAGAATTGAGGAGGGAAAACTCAGTGTGACCCAATGAGAACAGCTGCAATGTTTAACTGTTTTATGTATTGGATTTTCACGCAGTATTTGTTTGAAGATAAGTTTTTACTACTATAAAGATTTAGATTCACTGTTCTAGATTATATCTACAGCTCTGAAACATGAAAAGGGAAATAAAAGTATGCACAATTTCTCGATTTTCACAGGAGACAGTCACTAGATGCTGTATCTTTCTTGTGATAGTTTTAAACAAAAATATGTAGTCGTAATTTTAAAACATAAAGGTAACCATCAAATATTATAATACATATAAATATACATGTACACATGCATATTTGACTTGTTAAAAGTCAAAGATTAGTTTGAGTAAAACTTCTATTTCCAATATATTCTATATTATATATCAAGCCTGTCTGCATACAGCCCAAGATGGCTTTGAATGTGGCCTAACACAAATTAATAAACTTTCTTAAAACATTATGAGATTTTTTTGTTTTTTTTTCACTTTTTTTTTTTTTTTTTAGCTCATCAGCTATCATTAGTGTTACTGTATTTTATATGTAGCCCAAGACAATTCTTCTTCCAATGTGGCCCAGGGAAGCCAAAAGATTGGACACCCCTGCTATATATTATTATGTACGCAAGGTATATCTGAAACAAGATTACACAAAATGTAAAAATAAAAGAAATGGTCAAAAGAATACTGGGCAAAAATAAATGAAAGAAAGCAAAGGCCATGCAATCTAGCAATAATGTTTCTAGGTATTATTTATTCAATTATTTTGAAAACTGTGTCCACACAAAACCCTTGATACAAATGTTTATAGCAGTTTTATTCATAATTACCCCAAACTGGAAGCGGCCAAGTAACAGTAATACACTTTGCATGGAAATAAACACTGATGCATGGACATCAATACAATTGTTTGGAAATAAACATTGATGGATGGACATCAATACAATGACATGTTATTCAGCAATAAAAAGAAATGAGCTATCAAGCCTCAAAATATCATGGATGAATCCGAAATGCATATTGCTAAGTAAATGAAGCTAGTCTAAAAACCTACACAGCATCTGATTCCAATTATACAACCATTCTGGAAAAGGCAAAATGACAGAGATCATTAAAAAAATTACTAGCTGCCAAGAGTTTGTGAGGAGCGGGGCAGGGTTGAAAAGTTAATGCACAGGGACTTCTTAGGTTGGTAAACCTGTGTATAGCACTGTAATGGTGAACACATGACACTATACATTTGCCGAAACTCATAGAACTTTATATATAGCACAAAGAGTAAACTTTAATGTATGCAAATTTTGCCAATATCATTTGGTAGATCAAAGGATTCCAGGGTGGAATACAGAATATGAAAAAAACAAACTAATTATAATACAAGTGTATTAAAAAACCCGGATGAAGACAGGCAGGTGTGAGGAAGATGCTGATCTCAGTAAATTTAGAAATGAATGGAGTGCCTAAGACAAAAGGCAAAAAATAAATAAATAAAAACCACAAGCAAAGCCAAAACACCCCCAAAAATGTAGCAGTACACAAATACTGTAGTGTGGATGAATAAGTAATTTCCCGTGGGATTATAGGTGAATTATTTATTATCATTCTGTGATATGTATATACTGGAATTGAACAATTAAGTGAGTAAATGACAGCTGGTGGGAGCTGTGTTTATCCCTGTTGGGGTGGGGATTTATAAATAAGCAAGAACGCCATAATGATCCCTGGGGTAATGATTTAGAGTTGGAGATATTAGTGTAAACTTATGTTTAGCTTAATATAGATAATATTGATATGGATGGATATATATGTGTGGTGTATATGTGTGTGTGTGTGCATTTGTGTGCAGACTAATAGACATATGTAAACACATGGGTTAGTATACAAATATCTATTTTCTTATTCTGTCAGCTAAGAAAGCCTAGAATTGATGACACCCCAGTATCAACAAATACAGCTAGGGTCCAAATGTTGCTTTCTAGTACTAACTTCCAAAACAAAACAAAAATAAAAACAAACCAGAGTTCCTCAGAGAAATGCTTATTCTAGGGCTGTGGTGTAAAATGTACAAAATGAATCTGGAGCATCATATAGTGCCAGAAAATCAAGTTCCTAATAATAATAATAAAGATAATAGTAAGATATATCGAAAGGACACAGGAGCCAACTCCAAGAGCTCACAATGATCATCTTTGGAAAATACAATCTTCAATAGAAAGATAGGTTACTGGAAATAAAATGAGTTAGTTAATGCTTTAGAAGTATGTAGATATAAGCATTAAAGTTCAATTGTGGTATTTTTGTTTTTGAGAATATATCAAGGAGTCTTTGAAAGTTTCTAAAAGGGAGGTGTCATTTCAAGTGCAATTACCTTGGCCAGGTACGCTGGTTGAGAGAACCCAACCCTCTTTGTCCTAGGGATGGACTTGAAGAAAAATATATTGAGTTGCAAGAAAACCGAAATGAGACTGCGGAACTATACAAACCTTTTATTCTTTCACCTGTATAAGTAAAAGGAGATAATGCTGAATATATATTAAGCAGAGTTAAAGTTGACAAAGAATATGTTCTTTTGGTTGCCTTGTAATAGAGCTTCCACTATATTATATTAATATAATATTATAATTTTAAAGGCCACCTATAACTGAATGCCTAGAAATCAGAGGCAGAGAAAGATGTGATCTAGTTAGCTTTACCTTTGGAATATGTCCAAGAGGGTGTTCGGGAAGAATTTGACTCATGGATAAAAGATGAGAAAAATAATTTGAGTTTAATTTGGGCATATGTTCACTAGCATGTCTGAGAAATTACAGATGCACCGTTTGTCACACCGTTTATTCTTAAACATGCCAAAAGTTGAATAGTTTCACATGGATGTTATCTTCCATGCATTAACCATCTATATCCCTGCCTAGAGATGAGAAGCACTTAGAAATATTAGTGTTTCTACTTCTCAAGATAATAGTGATTGTAGCAATTTTAACATATGTAGCAAACTATTACTTATTTAACTTGTGCCTACCCTTAACATTGTCTTGAGTGAGAAGCAGAGAGAGAATTGTTAACAAGTCAGGGATGTCTTCTGTTGTAATAGGGATATAAATGAAATTAGATTTACATAATATGCAAAAATAGTATATGTTACCAACCTAAAATCCTAGAGGTCGAAAGACTTCTAGTATTAGTTGTCTTTGTGACTTATTGCTTTCATCATCCATCCAATTCTATTTACCTCTCTGTTTTGCTGAACTACTGTAGTATCAGTTTTTGCACAAGTTAGTTTTCCTTATGATTCCAAGATGGCTGCCACTGAATTAAGACAAACTACTTTTTAATTGACAAACAGCACAAGAAAGAAAGAAGCATCTCATTCAAGCATGCAATAAGATTATCCCTTCTGGTGAAACAAGCAATCCGTTTTGAATATAAGGAGACATTTTCTCCTAGGCATTGGTATAGACTGAAAATAAAAACAAGGATTTAAAAATTTTGAAGTATGAAATCAATAGGCTATATGTAATATGTAAATATAAAATTTTGTATGTTGCAGAGGATATACAGATTTTAAAATGAATGTTGATTATTTATATTCTAGGTTATTAAAACCAATATCTTAAATTTCTCAAAGTAGATACTGTACAGTTTACACTTACCATTCTGAACACCATAAAGACAAATTTTAAAATATTTAACCAGAAAACCCTTATACATTTGAAGTTTAAAGGAAATCCTAAACTCTCAAGAAAAATAGAAATCAAGAAGAAACTATATTCTCTTTGGTAGATAATGACAAAGAAACCATTGAAGATTAAAAATTTTATGCCATGCTGCAAAAGGTGTATCACATTGATTTATTGTCTTGTTGCTTTTTACTGTTAAGCAACAAAAAGAAAATAAGAATTGAATTTTAGAAATTAGCGAAAGCACTATGAAATAGAAGATATTAGTTAATGTAAAATGATAAATTCTTAAAATAGAAAACAGAAAGCAATAAAAATAATACACTAATTCCAAATAAAGGATAAAAGTAGAAACTCCACGTACATAATTCAACATTACAAATATAACTAGTGGTCCAGAAAACAACAAAAATTTATGAGGATATTATATACAAGTTATACCTAATAAGTGTTTCAAAAATTCTTGAAACTAATGATTTTCTAGAAAAATATATATTATAAAACATAATTCAAGGTGGTGCAGAAAACTAGAACAGATCCATAATTACGTACAAAATTGTGAAAAAATGTTCACAAAAATATATTCTCCACAACGTCATTAGTAACCCTTACATTGCTAAATTTGTTGGTGACAGCTTCTAGAACAGTATTGTCCAACAGAAATATAATGCAAACTATGTATATAAACAAAACTTTCATTATACCTATGTTTAAAAAGTGAAATTAATTTGAATGTTTTATTTAAATAACTGTATCCCAAATTTTATCATTTTGACGATTAATCTATACAAAATTATTACATTCTTTTTTCAATTAAATTATTGATATCACTACTTGATACAGCACATCTCAGTTTGGACTAGCCATATTTAAGTGCTAGCCTCAAGTGCTAGCGGCCAGTGGTTTAATATTTAAACGGCATTGCTTTTACTTCAAGGGAATGTGGTCAGACACTGTAGAAGTCAAGATGTTTCACTCTTCATTAAGCAGCCTTGGTAAGCATGGTTTTTACTTGGCTTTTAGTCATAAATATGTTCATAGCATGAAACACACACACACACACACACACACACACTCCTACAAATGTGGAGACCAAAGAATTTTGCTTTTTCTTTTTTGAAAATTGGATGTTTTTATATAATTTGATGATGATTTTTAAGAAAACTTGTAACAATCAAGGTGATGTATTTAAGTTTATTTTCATTACGAGAGAGAGAGAGCAGAGTCCTGTTTTCCAATGTTCATTTTGGTTCTAAGAGTGATGCAACTCTAGGGAAACGTATTTTTTAAGGTTTAGTTCAGAAATTTAAAAAAGCATGCCATGTACAATTTGGGCAAGACCAGATTTCTAAGATTCTATTGTTCTTGTGCCAGTTGGGTAACATAGAAGTTAATGGTAAAAGTAATTTTATTGAATAACAAAATAATGGTATTGAGTTCTACCTAAAGGCCAAAAGCTCTGCTCTTTCTTTGTTAAAAAAGAAAGTGAAAAAATTTTTAAAAAGTGTGAAAGACATATATTAAACTGAAAATGTATGTCTTCTTGAATAATCAGAAAAAATGAAAGCTAAAGAAAAAGGAGGTATAATGCTCATATTTATTTTTAATGTCTATCTCTTTGTACCACCTATAATTATTCATAACTCCTTAAATTTTTTTCCCTGTAAATTAATGTTCTTATAATAATAGTTGATTTGTTTGTGAACCTGTCTGCTTTTTCTTGCTTTGTATCTTTACTCTTTTTTTTAAATGTAGGTCTTTCAGCTTATATTTAAATTTAAATTTGGGTCTTTCGGCTTTGACCATCAATTTTACTTTTGATATGTTTCCCTTTCTGTAATATCGTTACTTTTGCCCTCCTCTGTCTCTTCTTTTTAACATTTCCTTTTTGTCTCTTTACCCTTCTCTCCTTCTGTGCTTCCGTCTTTTTCCCTCTCTCCCTTTTTCTTTCTCTTATTATTATTATTCTGTAATTTATTCCAAGAATTACAGATTAACAAGAACGCTAGAGCAAAATCTAACAACTGGAGTGCATACAACTTGGTATGGAACAAATAGGTAACAAACGTGCCTGTGTGATGCCAGGGGTGGTCAGTGGTCGGAGTCTGGGGTAGCTGAAATTACTCTTAGCCGTTTGCCTCAGTGTGCTGAGTAAAATTATTATTTTTAAATCATGTTATAACATGAAATGTTTCATAAACATTTCCTAAGACTATCCCAGTTAAATTAAAATTAATTGTTTCAAAAAATCAGAGTAAACCAGCTTCGCCTTGTGTGCTTTCTGAAGGTTAGACTATAATTTTTCAGTAAACAGATGTGGAAGACAAATGGTAATACTAGCTAGGGACAAATGCACACATAAGTAATTTCCCATTTTCAAAGTCTATGGACTACTCTCTACAATTTGGCAATTTAGATGATTTCCTCAATCTTTTAACATTGAAAACTCACCTTTAAGATTTGACAACCTTTTAGTTGTCAAAGTGCAACTGAAAATGTAAATGCAAGTAAAACTACCACCGATATGTTAATGATGTCACTGGGGTACTGAAGCTTACCCCGTGGGAAGCGTCATCACACAAGACTACCAAGCATTTGTATTTACACGTAGAGAATGAGGACAATTTTGGGGAAACGTTTGATTTTGCTTTTGACTTAGGCTCTTAGAAAGGCCATTTCTTCCTTCAGCTGCATTCTCACTTCGCATTTAAATTTACCCATTAGTTTACCCATTAGTGGCAGTATTGAACATTCTTGCTTTAGTGACATTTCAGATTTAGGTTATATATTTTCAGGGCTTAAAAGAACATTTATGTTTTCTCAGCAGGCATCTTCACTCCCTGGAATATTACATTTGTATGGGATAAATAGTCGTTTGAAGGGGACAGCTATTGCAGAAGAAGACACAAAAATTGAATTTACACACACACACACACACCTATATACATACATATATACACACACATATATACGTATATATACATATATACATTTATACATATATACAAATATACATATATACACATATGTGTATATATATACATATATATAAAATGCTGCTTAAGACATATGATGACTTCAAACAGCAATTCTTAAAGTTTATACAGTGGCCCTTTCAAAAGACCAATGGTTCCTATGAATCACATGCTAACTTCTTAGATTTACTGGTCAGGATAAAAACAATATCCTCCGAAATCTCAAATACTAAGAATGATGCTGGTTTTGGTGAATCATCAATGAGTGACTGACTCCTGTTTGTTAAATATTAAAGTAAATTATTCAGGTCAAAATCTAAAGTGTTGATTTCATTATCCAGAGATCCAGATTAGCCAGATAAATCTTGTGGACTGTCAGTCATATATAAAGGACAATTCATCAGTAGAATTGTTTTTGGTTTGTTTGCTCTTTCAGACTATCACTGCACTGATTTGGAACACAAAATATCGGTCTAGGTTTGAAGACTGGTGATGATATCAACTCTAACTTGGATCAAGCTGGGTTAATTTAATTTACATTCCCATCAGGCACCAAGCATGGCCACAGTTACGCAGCAGTTAAGAATATAAATATAAGTGAGCATTATAGATTCCCAACATCTCCCTCGTTTGTTGGGGAGGTGAACCTAAACTTCAGAGGCCAACGCAGTCCATGCAGAGGGAACAACTCTCTAAGTCAGAGGAGCGCTGAGCCACAGGCTCACACTGCAATGAGAGATGCCAGCACTCAAGAGTCCACTGAGGACTGTAGAAGATACAAAGCAGGGGGTCTCAAACTTTAGTGTCAGAATCAACTAGAGGGCTTGTTAAGGCACAGAGTACCATACACTCATACCTAGTTTCTGATTCAGTAGACCTCAGACAGGAACCCAGAATATCATTTTTCACAAGTTCCCAAGTAGTGTTGCTGATACTGCTGGTCCAGGGACTACCTGTTGAAAACCACAGAGGAATTTTTTTTATGTTTTGTTTTTGACTTAGATATTAAGTCTATAACCTGAATGTGGCTTACCAGAAACTGTTTGGTATTAAAGTATAACTAATATGCACATTATGAAAAATGACATTAGGTTCAAATCGCTCCCACCAGAATTAAGCACTTATGTAGATAATTCAGACACAAGCCTTCTCCTCTCTCAATTATACAAGCAGAGTCAAGTGGTTTATTAAGCAGGATTTAGAAATGCTATTGGCCATGACAGTTTTTTTGGTAATATAAATAGCAGACTCTTACAGTTTTTATTTATGAATATTGATTTGCATCAGAAACTTGAGAAGGTCAACCAACTTGTCATTGAATCCATTATTACAGTGAATATAGACGAATGTACTTAAAGAGGCAGCAGTAATTTCAACATTGAAAAGTTTGCAGTTTTATGTTTTTTTGTTAACCAAAACAGGGCCAGGTCTCATAGTCTGCATTTATTATGGTGGTGATGAAGCCCTAATCCAATAAGGGAAGTGAGATAATTTTTTAGCCCTAATGTTAAAAATAATTAGTAAAGATTTTCTTGTGAAAGCAATTGGTCTAAATGATAGTTCTGTGTAAGGAAATTTGGCTGTGAGAAAACCATAATTAAGGTTGAGCTTTTTCTGAAGAGGATTAAAACCTAATTTAAAATATAAATTTAATTTAAAACTATTTTTGAAAATTTTAAAAGATGTCTTGAAAGTATATTTCAGTGAGCAAGAATTTAAAAGGCCCCAACACGTTTCTACAAGTTCTACATTATGCAGATTCAGATAGCATTTAAGAGTTCTCAGAAGTGTTTCTTAAATTCATTTATAATTAAAATGTTAAATAATTGTGCATAATATGCCCTTCTTTGAGTTATTCTTCGTATAAATGAGGAACTCAGCAATTCCTTGAGACTTCCAATTAAAATATCAACAATAGTCGAGATTATAGAGCTATTCCAAAGAATTTGCTAAGAAACAGCCAAACCCTTAGTTATCAAAATTAATTATTTCAAATGGCAAACATTTTAAAAATATTGAGAAATTGATGGTTTAAACAGATTCCTAATTTGATCTGTTTCTTGAAACAAATTAAAAAGTCTTCAAATAATTTTGAACTCTTTGTTTTTTTTTTTCCTTTATGGATACAGAGTCGGGCTCTGTCACCCAAGCTGAAGTGCAATGGCGCGATCTTGGCTCACTGCATCCTCTGCCTTCCCAGCTCACTTAAGCTGTCCTCCCACCTCAGCCTCCCAAGTAGCAGGCACTACAGGCATGCATCACCACACCCAGCAAATTTTTGTATTTTTTGTAGAGATGGGGTTTCACCATGTTACCCAGGCTGGTCTTGAGCTCCTGGGCTCAAGCAGTCTACCTGCCTCTGCCTCCCAAAGTGCTGGGATTACAGGCATGGGCCACTGTGCCCAGCCAAGTTTGAACTCTTATGTAAATTTCAAGGCCTGTTCCTCAAATTTACCCCCTGAAACCCAGTGAAATTCCATAGAATGAACATATGTGTTTTCCTAAAATGTAAAAAAAAAACTACAGAAATAATCCCACTTACCTTGCCTGTGACGACCAGGAAATACATTAAAAATGAATTCTGATTTGACTAAGACAATTCCTGTAATGGGAACTATAAGTAAAACTGTGTCCAAAATTGGTGGGTTCTTGGTCTCACTGACTTCATGAATGAAGCTGCGGACACTTGTGGTGAGTGTTACAGTTCTTAAAGATGGTGTGTCCGGAGTTTGTTCCTTCTCATGTTTGGATGTGTTCAGAGTTTTTTCCTTCTGGTGGGTTTGTGGTCTCGCTGGCTTCAGGAGTGAAGCTGCAGACCTTCGTGGTGAGTGTTACAGCTCTTAAGGCAGCGTGTCTGGAGTTGTTCATTCCTCCTGGTGGTTTGTGGTCTCACTGGCCTCAGGAGTGAAGCTGCAGACCTTCGCGGTGAGTGTTATAGCTCATAAAAGCAGTGCAGACCCAAAGAGTAAGCAGCAGCAAGATTTATTGCAAAGAGCGAAAGAACAAAGCCTGCACAACGTGGAAGAGGACCCAACCCAGTTGTGCCCCTAGCTCGGGCAGCCTGCTTTTATTCCCTTATCTGACCCCACCCACATCCTGCTGATTGGCCCACTTTACAGGGAGCTGATTGGCCCATTTTACAGAGTGCTGATTGGTCCATTTTGACAGGGTGCTGATTGGTGCGTTTACAAATCTTGAGCTAGACCCAGAGTGCTGATTGGTGTATTTACAATCCTCTAGCTAGATGTAAAAGTTCTCCAAGTCCCCACTAGATTAGCTAGACACAGAGCACTGATTGGTGTGTTTACAAACCTTGAGCTAGATCCTGAGCACTGATTGGTGAGTTTACAAACCTTGAGCTAGACACAGAGTGCTGATTGGTGCATTTACAATCCTTTAGCTAGATGTAAAAGTTCTCCAAGTCCCCACCAGATTAGCTAGATACAGAGTGCTGATTGGTGCATCCACAAACCCCGAGCTAGACACAGAGTGCTGATTGGTGCATATACAATCCTCCGGCTAGACATAAAAGTTCTCCAAGTTCTCACCAGACTCAGTAGCCCAGCTGGCTTCGCCTAGTGGATCCCGTGCCAGGGCTGCGGGCAGAGCTGCCCACCAGTCCTGTGCCACGTGCCTGCCCTCCTCAGCCCTTGGGCGGTTGATGGGAGCAGGTGCTGTGGAGCAGGGGACAGCGCCCAGCGGGGAGGCTTGGGTCATGTGCGAGCCCACTGCCGGGGGGCTTGGGCATGGCGGGCTGCAAAACAATCAGTAGTTTCCTATTTTTTCCCAGTTTGGTGAAATGAGAGCTGTTTGGTATATGGAACAAAGATGATTTATTTAATGTTCTGTCTGTTTATGAAATAAATATTTATTGGATGTGTTCTATATATCTACCACTGTCTAAAGCTGGGGATAAAGTATTCAGAGAGATAGTCATGATCCCTGCCTTCATGGAACATATACTGTAGGGGGCACTACAGCCAATAAACAAATACAAAACAAATAAACATAATGACAAATTATAATAAATGCTATGATGGAAATAATGCAGTGGTTGCCATAGATAAAAATGAGGGGAGGCAGTAATTTAGAGAAATGGTTTAAAAAATGTTGCCTTGGAAAGGTTACATTTAATGCAAAGAAAAGGGGAAACACACAGGCAGAGGAAGAAGAAAGAATAGCTCATTAGTCTATGCTGAACCTAGTTAATGTGGGGTCGTTAACCTAAGGTTTCTCTCTGAAGCTCTGAATTAACTCAGGGTTAGCCCATGGATTTCTCTGCTTTGCCGAATGTTTCATGTACAGCTAGCAGGATTAGGGGCCCAAGCTTTTACTAATACGTACATTTTCCACCTAAGACACCTTAGGTTTGAACAGTTTATGTAAAATATATGCTGATGGAACATGAGTCCTATTGTCTGCTCACTACCGTGCACCCCCCCCGCCATATCCCAAGAGAATGAAATCATAGGCATGCAGCAGATACTAGACCTTTCTGAGGTTCCGCTTCTAGTTCTTTAATACAAACATAGCTCCCATTAATTATCTCGTTTCTTATCCTTTTCTACTAGAAGGCATTCTTTCTTTTTTCAGGGGAAGACAGATTGTATTTATTTTTATAAATTGTTTTTAAAAAGTTTGGCTGGGCACTGTGGCTCACATCTGTATCCCCAACACTTAGGCAGGCTGAGGTGGTTAGATCACTTGAGGCAGGCCAGGAGTTTGAGACCAGCATGGGCAACGTTGTGAGACCCCATCTCTGCTAAAAGTAAAAAAATTAGCTGGCTGTGGTCCCATCTACTCCAGAGGCTGAGGTAGGAAAATCACTTAAACTCGGGAGGTTGAGGCTGCAATGAGCCATAATTGTGCCACTGCACTCCAGCCTGTGTGACAGAGCAAAACCTTGTCTTAAAAAAAATTGTAACATTGTTACATAAACACTGCCAAAAAAAAAAAAGCATAAGAAAGGGTATAATTGTTAAAATCCCCCTTTCCACTCATTAAAGATACTTATTATTAATTATTTTGTATTCTTCTTTAAGATATATTTTAAATGATCCAATAGTCCATAGATGGTTTTTTTGGATAAACATAGAAATTAAGTCTTCTCAAGTCATTATACAAAAAAGATAGTTGCACACGCATGTTTATAGCAGCACAGTTCACAATTGCAAAATTGTGGAACCAACCCAAATGCCCATCAGTCAATGAGTGGATAAAGAAACTCTGGTATACATATATGATGAATACTGCTTAGCCATTAGAAGGAATTAATTAATGGCATTTACAGCACCCTGAATGAGACTGGAGACTATTATTCTAAGTGAAGTAACTCAGGAATGGAAAACCAAATATTGTATGTTCTCATTGATATGTGGGAGCTAAGCTATAAGGCATAAGAAGGATATAATGGACTTTGGGACTTGGGGGGAAGGGTGGAAGTGGGAGACGGATAAAAAGCTACAAAGGGGTGCAGTGTATACTGCTCAGGTGATGGGTGCACCAAAATCTCACAAGTCACCACTAAAGAACTAACTCATGTAACCAAATACCACCTGTACCCCAATAACTTACGGAAAAATTAAAATTAAAGAATTAGAAAAAAAGAAATGGAGTCTTCTCACCTTAAAGCTTGAAACTTACATTTTTTTAACCTGAGTTCCTTCCTCAGGAAAGGGCCCCCGGGCCTCTCAAAAAGTATCAAAGAACTGAAACTCACCAGATCACTGCAGCCAGACAATGAGAGCCAGGCTCCTCATTTTGCCTCCTTACCCCTACCGAATTCATGTTTTCCTACACAATATTACATTTCTTCCCTGCTATATAAACTCTTAATTTTAGTTGATTAGGGAGATGGATTTGAGACCAATCTCCCATGTCCTTGGCTGCAGGACCTAATTAAATCCTTCTTCCCTGGCAGTACTCGTCTAGCTTTACTGTATGGTGAGCAGCAGGACCTAGTCTAAACCCCTGGTGTTTTGGTAACAGATTTTGCTTCCCTGACTGGGAACGCATTGCTAGTGGATCTGCTGCTATGGGCCAGGAGTCTCAGAAGCCCTCCTAAGCAGCTGACCGCTCAATTTTGGATAGAAGTGTGTTTCCCTCTCTCTGGCCCTGCCACTACCGGCCCCAACCATGTTCCTGATTGCCTCAGAAGAACCAGCCTTTGAAATTTGACATCTGCCCAGATAGGTAAGTGTCCTTTCTGGCCCAGAGAGCAGGATCTGCTCCTCTCAATTTGGAAAACTTGTAAAGGATTTCCGTTTGCAGGTTGAAAAAGCCCAACTGACTGAGAGTAGGAAGCGCGTGATTGAGTTTGGACACTCTTGGGGCTTGTTTGCTGCTGCAGTGGTTGGATTGTGTTTTGGTTATTGTGTGTGTGTCATGGGAAGTTAGAATTAGAAAGCTTATTGTAATACTGTTTAGAATCTGGAGTTTGCTGTTGCATGGGAAAGCGTGATGGAGTTTCATGTATCCAGGCTTTTGTGCTGCTGTTCTAAGCAGGGTCGGGCCTGGTTAGTATGTGATGTTCTTCTGTGGTGCTATTTGGCCCCAGTGTTCTTTGGAGTCTGGGGAGGTTTGGACTTTTAAAATCAAACTGCCATGAAAACTGCTTTGCCCAACATTTTGCATGACAGCCTTCAGTGGATTACCTACTAGGGCAAACAAAGTGTAGTCATGTAAACGGGTGAGTTTACACAGATGTCTCATGGCTGGAGTTCTGAGATAAAAGCTATTGGATCTGTGTTTATGTGTATGTGTGAATGTCTGCATGTGTTTATGTATATATATTTATATGTTGTGTCTACTAAACTGGCTTATAAATAAAAGACCATTCATAAATTAAGAAAGTCTAAAGTATTTTTCAAGTTCATGTAACTTAAGTAAACCTTTAATGGACAAGCTGGCTTTAAAATTATTGATAAAGGAAAAATAGAAATGTCTTCAGAATTGTCAGTGTACATTTTTATCTGGGTTTTATATTTGTCTCTGCTAGATATTTTGAGGTGTCAGGGCTTGCCATAGAAGTTTAAAAGACTATAAACCCAGCTAAAATAAAATGATATTGGTTTGTGTGCCTTCTTTGACAAGTGAGACTAATTTAATGTGAGCTGAATATTCTGCGTTGTTGGCAAAAATATTTAACTTCAAGGTTCTTACTTAGGTGAGCACTTATTGTTCACTGGCTGTAAATTTTTCTGAAGTAATCTAGATAAACTTAAAAATAAAAGAATTGAGTACATGTAAATGGGATAAATGTTGTCGGTGAAAATTTTGTGTAATTTAAAATCTTAAAATTATTTTTGATGCTCATTGGATGTCTGGGCCATTTCCAACTATGAAAAAGTTAAGATATGGAGAAACATATTTCTAAAAATTGTGGAATAAGTCTCATCTATAAAATGCCAGTATCTGAGAGGCAGCTCAGGAGTTTATGCTTCCTAGATTTTCACTAAAATTTAAGGTTACTGAAGATAAGGCTTATAGTTAACACATAACTCTGCATATAAAATGTGCCAAAGAAGATATATTCTTAGTGAGGAAAAGAATAATTTTGTCTATTTCAGAAGTTATCTAAAGGTTAATTCAAATTACAGACTTGAAAAGGTTATTTATGAACAAGGTAGAAAGAAACCACTAAGTAAGAGAGAGAGATATGAAGAAAGTTATGGATATAAAGATGAATTTTTTGGTAAGAATAGTTCTAAAAAAATGAGAATACTTTTGAGTGAAACAGGATCTTGTATGGTAAATATTTACCCTAAAGTAAAATAACTTATTATTTAAAAAAAGGAGGAGAAAAAATTTAGGACAAAACAGAAAGTCCAAACAATTCATAGATGGTCTGTGTAAGTCACATGTAGTTTTTCCTGTTTTTCTCTGCCGATCTTCATTCACATACAGTGAAAATAGAAACTTGAAAAATTTAGATAGTAAAATATTCTTTAAAACCTAATGAAAAATTGGAGAATTTCACTAATTAACATTGCTCATAGTTAAGTCTCTTAATCTTGATGAAAGTAAAATAAGAAATATTGTAAAAAAACTAAATTGACCGTTTAGCAGTTCTTTTTTAATATAGCTAAGCATGAAGCCAGGTTTAGCATGGAGCTAAATTTCATATAAATGCTTGTATTGCTTCACACTGTATTTGCTATTCTGCATAGTTAATACTAGCACTAAAGAACTTATTGGTCACGTGCCTAAAAATAATTTTTAATTGCACAAAATATATAATGGTATTGTTGGACTTAAAGACATTAATTTGTATACCAGGAAAAAATATCCATCATGTGCTTTTTTTTAAGGCTCTGGATAACACTGTACACCTCTGATCCAGAGAGCTATGAGCTTGAAGGTTCCTGACAAAAATAAATCAATAAATAAAATACTTATTTTTATAAGTTCTGAAGAGAAATAATGTATTATTTATTTTGTTACTTGGAAAAGTAGATGCGAGTAGAAATGCTGAAATGGTGTATATATCCAAAGTAATTCAATTAAATTAATAATTTGAGTTCATTTCAGATCTTTTCCTATAATGAGAAAAAAACTGTGATATGGGCACAAAGTTTTAATATTTAGGAAAGATTGCCTTTGTCCTTAAGGAAATTACATTGACTGGGGTTTCTCTCATACTACTTCAGTTGTGTTTACCATTATTAGCATTAAGTGACATTCATCTGGTTTAAGTATTAATAATAATCACTTTTAAAAATGAAAAAAGTGAGACTCTCTAATGATTTTGTATCCCAATCACTTATCACTGATGGGCCTTCATGTGTGTACTTGGAAATGAATTCTGTACAAATGTTGCACAGGATTGAAGATTTTAGTGGTGAAAATTACCTAATCAGTTATCAGTACTGTATCTGGACACCAGTCTCAGAAATATGTGATAACACTCTTAAATAGCTGAAAAGAAATTACTGGGAGCTTTTTCTTACTTTGTCCTTGTTTTGTAGTAGAGAATTTAAGTGAAAGAAGATTATTTATTTTCATACTGAGTTTCCAGAACTGAAATTTGCATTTATCGTTTTTTTTTTAATGATGGAGAGAAAAGTTAGTTGTCTTACTTTGATAAGTTTGGCATAGGACTTATCACATTTGTGATGCATTTGGTCATAGTCTATCACTAGAATGCTAGCAATTAGACATATGCAATCAGTAAACTAACTACTTTAATACAGTGGATTGAAGTGTTACAGGCAGTAACTACTAGATACAAAAATCACAGTGTTTTAATATGTGAAATGTTGGAGAGAATGATAGGAGTTTCTGTAGTATAAATATCTTATTAACTAATCCTTGTGCTGTTAAGTTACAGAGCTTTGACTCCTGGTTCTGAAAAAGGCACTGACCCCTGCTAAATTTTGAACCTTGAGCCCCTACACAAAGCCTTGTCTTAAGACCTGGGAGAAGGTGACAAACAAAATGAACTGTTTCGTGAGAGACAAGGTTGAAAATTGAAACGCTTCAACCTCCTCTAGGGCCAGGGACTATTGTGTAAGAGGTGCGTGTGTGAAATTGTAAGGATTGATTTCCAGAGATAAGATTAGTTGAGTGTTCCTATAAATTAAACATTAATATCAAAAGCACTCTAATGAAAGGCCAGCATCTGGGTCCATGTGTTCGAATTAGAAAGTTTTCTTGTAGTATTCATCTGCTCTTTAATGGAAAATTGCAAAAGGATATAAAAGGTTTATGGAAGTCTTAACTTATGGTCCAACTGATTAAAATTAGATAGATTTGTTTATAAGGTTTTATTAAAGTTAGCTTTAATATTAATAATATATCATACAAAGATAGAATGCAATTTGGTTTTCTGTTTGAACAAAATTTTCATGCAAGAGAGAATAAGAGATTTGTATTTACCTTTGTGGAAAACTACAGAAGAAAACAAAAAGGGGGTGGGAGAGACAGACTTAGTTGACCTCACGCTCTCTTTATTAGGTCTTATTGTTTGGGAAACTGTGTCTCCTCTCTATCAATAAGTAAATGTTTTTGTTTCATCATTTTTGCTAAATGAATGCTATTTTATAGTAATTTGTGATTCTATTGTGTGATACCATGTGTCTTAATCCTTTCATATTTGACAGACTTTCCAACGGAAAAATTTCAAGTTCTAAATTCAGTCTTTTGACCTCAAACTAACTTTTTTTGGATATTGGGTCTCCTAAAGTCCAAGAGTAACATATTAGGCCTATTCGATATGTTAGAATTAAATAGAAAGCATTACCAAATGTGAGGGGGTATTTAACTTTATTTGGGTTATATTTATATAGATATGCTGTTAATATGTGTTCCAGGATTGTATGAGATTTCTGAAATTCTGATATATCTTAATATATGTTGTCAGTAATTATTATTATATTAAATTGTTGTATGTCAACAGACATAGCCAAATTTCCTTGTCAACTGTGTCTTTAATTATGGCTGTCCTAATACTTTTGTCATCTACAATTGTTGTTTTGCATTGATTCTTCTCAAAAAGTGATTTACAATCAGCTACAGTCCAGGGCTTGCTTCTTAGGAGGAGTTCATGAAAAGGACTCTTGAGTGAAGGTTTCTGGTAAATTTGGAGATTGCGCCACTGGATTAGAGAGAAAACTACCAGGCTTCTAATTAAATAGCTGATGTGTTTGTAAAGATTGCTAACCCAATATAAAGCACAGCAGGAGTTGATTGCATGGACCAGACTAATGAAGGAATGAAATAATTTTTTATGACTTTTTTGGTTTGAACCATTACTGATTCTTTTTGTTTTTTAGGGTCTGGAGAATTTTTTTCTTTAGACTTATTTGTAACCTTTAAGTGCACTTGAAGTGTATTGAGTAGACTATACTTTTGTAAACAGAATTTGAAGCTTATTTCTCTCTCTCTCTCTGCCTAATTTCTCCACAATTTTAAAACTACTTGTGAATTCATGGCAATGTGTTTATTTGCATATGGCTAATAAGTACCTGTTTCATTTATAATGGGAACTCTTTGGAAGAATTAGTTATTTCTTCAAAGCTTTGACTGAAATGGCCTTGTGAGAGGTTCCAGCAAGGCCTAGTTAGGAGAGCCCAGGTGGTGTTTGGGTAATCAGGCCAACTATATGGGACTGAAGCTTATTTTGCAGGTAGGTTGGTCCTACTGTGATTTGTCTTTGATGGAAGTGGGGAATAGAAAGATTGTGTTTTCACAGAAAACTACGGTATTAGATTAGCCTTTGATTCTGAGGGACCATGTGGCCACTTTTGGTATGGAGCTGTCCACAAAGCCCCTCCTCAGCATGAAGCAGCCAGAATGATTGACAACCAGATTCTCCATGATTGAGGAATTGAAAAAGAGAAAGGGAAGGCTGAAACAGACCCAGTAGTCCCATAGATGCTTCTTTTGGATGAACATAAAAATTGACCCTTTTGATCTTAAAGCTTGAAATTTACAATGGTTTTATCCGAGTTCCTTCCTCAGGAAAGGACTCCCAGGCCTCTTAAAAAGTATCAAAGAACTGAAACTCACCAGATCACTGCATCCAGACACTGAGATGCTAGACCCCTCATTTTGTTTCCTTATCCTTCCCTGGTTCCTGTTTTCCAACACATGGTTAAATTTTTTTTTTCTGCTATATAACCCCCTCCCCAATTTTAGTCAGTTAATAAGATGAGTTTGAGACTCGCATCTCCTAGGCTGCAGCACTTGATTAAAGCCTTCTTCCCTGGCAATACTTGTTGTCTCAGTGATTGGCTTTCTGTGTGGTGAGCAGCAGGACCTAGACTGAACCCCTGCTGTTTCAGTTACAATATTATGTTAGTGTGTTCACATATACACTGAGGATATATATTCAACCATACGTCTATGTTTTATCAAGTGATGCTATAGTTATTAACAATCCCCTCAAAATCTCAGTGACTTAAAACAAGAGTTCGACTTTATTTTTATACTACATCTCATAGATTGGTTGTCAGGAGAGACCTATTCTTAGTATTCACTCAGAATCCATGCTAGTGTAGAAGCTATATCTGGGAACTTGGCAGTCACATGCCAGAACTCTTAATGTCTCAAAATGGCAAGTAAATGTTTTGGCCTAAAATCAACCCATGTAACTCACTCACAACTCATTGTACAGAACTCGTCATCTGTTTCCACCCAACTACAGGAGGCCAAGGAACTATAATCCTGCTATAAGTTTAGAAGATAGGAATAAATGTTCGTAGAGAATAGATCTAGTCTGACCACAAGTTTCCTTCATTTACTTTTATCATTCAAGTATATGCATGAACATTCATCCTCACTTCTTAAATGTGTTTATTTACATTATTTTATTTTCTTGAGAACCTATTAAATCACAATTAGATAAATACAAACTTAATGGTAACAACTTTTACTGTTCTTCTTACACTTATCCAGAAAGATATGCCTGAAAAATTTGTGTAATTCTGAATGTTTAGAGACTGACTCAAATGAAACAAAAATCCATTTTGTTGTTATACAGAAGGGAGCCAATCCAAAATAAAGGACAGAGAGTTCATTTGAATGAAAATTGACACTGGATATAGATTTAGGAATATATTGATATCATTTGTGGTTCTAGGTTCTGGGGATACAGAGACAAATAAATAATACGTCTTCTCATCTTTCCTAGTTTTCACAGTGATATTTAACCTCTGAAATACTTAGTTATATTAGGTTTCTCTGCAGCCAAAATTTCCAATAACCCAGTAGCATATAGTAATTGCTGATGATAATAAAAGCTATAGGAAGGCTTCAATTCTGATGGGATCTCCTAGGCTCTGTGTGTCTTCTAATTTCAGAACCCAAGTTGAAGAAATAGCCAGCAAACTTTCTGGAACATGCAGTTCCTAGAATGGATGTGTCAGAGCCAGAGTATCAGCACCAAGTCGCAGAACTGCCTTTCAAGCTTCTGCCCAAATGCAGCAAAAATCACAGCTGCTCACATTCCATTGGCTATAGAGCGAGTTACATGATCAACCCAAAATCAGTGGAATGGGGCAGGGAATTGTACTCTACCTATAAGGAATTTGGAAAGAGTGCAGAGGAAGCAACTAATTATAAACAAACAATAAAATCAGCCACACTAGTAAATGTTGGCCCCACAGCCCCTGCTTTTTGCTGTATTTGGTATCATCATTTCAGCACTCTCATACACACATGAAACCATTTAAGAATTCATTTCCACAGTGCTTATCATTGCTTTTTGTAATAGAGATTAGCACTATATCAAGAATTGAGGACAATGAGAGACCAATTTTAGTTGATGCTTACCCACCATGTATTCATTCACATATTTATTCAATCACCTAGTTATTCACTGATTCAATAAATTTGTTGAATACCTACTGTGTGCCAGACACTGATCTAGGTACTACAAATTCAGAAGTGAATAAACCAGACATGCTTATGCAGAGTATATGCTTGCTGGAAAGGAGATGAAATTGAAAACAATGAACAATTAAAAATATGCCAGACAATAATACATATCATATAGATGAATAAAAATGAATAAAGGTTTTGAGAGAGTATGGTTACAGTTATTTTAGATTGGGAGACCAAGGACTCTTGAATGGAGTGACAATTGAATGTAAAGAGAGAGTAAGACGTGACTATCTGGGAGGAGACTGATGTAGGCAGAGGGAAGACCAAGTGCAAAAGGCTGGAGGCGTGATCGTGCTTTCATTATGTGTACAAAAAACTGCAAAATATGTCTAGAATAGTTTAAGAGGAGAGAAGGTAGAATCGAGGTCAGGGAGTAGTGGAATAGAAGGTCATAACGGAGCTTTCAACAATAGTGAGAAGGTGGAGTTTTATTTTGAATAGCAAGGAAAATCATTAGAAGATTAGAGCAGAGCATGTTACCGTGCAAATTCAGGTGTTACCAGCAATTTTCTGTCACTTTAAAGCATTTTTATATATTTATTTATTTTTTTAATTGACACATAATTTGATACATTGACACATTTAATTTGATACATATATACATTGTATGATGATCAATTCAGGGTATTTAGCATTTTCATCACCAAATGTCTCTCTTCTAGCTATTTTGAATATATAAGAAATTCAAACGACTCAAGACCAATACAAAACAAAACATATAATCTGATTTAAAAAATGAATAAAACACCCAAATAGACATCTCTCAAAAGAAGACATACAAATGGTCAACAAGTATATGAAAAAGTGTTCAACATCGCTAATCATCAAGTATGGTTACAGCTATTTTAGATTGGGAGACCAAGGACTCTTGAAACAAGTGAAAATCATGATATATCATCTCATGCCATATAGAATGACATTAGCAAAAACACAAAAGGTAACAAATGCTGGTGAGTATGTGAAGAAAGGAGAACTCATGCATTGTTGGGAGGAATGCAAATTAGTGCAGAACATTTTTTAGCTTGAAATGATGTGTTTCATTTCCAAGAACTTGTTTTAAGCTTTTCTTAAATGTCTTGATATACTCTTGTGTGATTATTCTAAGTGTGGTGGTGCTATCATTCTTCTCCAGAGCTGCAGTATCCTTAAGGATATTGGGGCTTGTTCTGCTTGTCCATTTCTTCTTTTGTGTTGATAGGATCCCATGGAGCTTGTGGTAATTTTACTTTGTGTAAATTTAAGTGATGACAACCTGTAAGTGGTGTATGTCACTGTACTCTACCTGGAGGCTGATGCTATAAGAGTTGTCAAGTTGTCAGTCATCTCTGGATGCCCAGAAGGAAGATTTCCTGCTCCCTGTGCTCCTTGTAGACTTTCAGTTGAATGAACAGGGTGGTTTCAAGTCACTTCTTCAGCAATTACTGAGTGCTTGGCCTCTAAGGACAGACCTGCTCTTGAGATCTAATTTCTGTCTCAGTCCTCTCTGATGCTGTTCTCTAAACTCATTTCTGATCCAGAGGGACTGTCTCCATCAGAAGGAATGCAGAGTTGGGACTCACTTGTAACCTGCCTGCGTGCTCTTCCCAGTAGCTGCTTACTCAGCAAAGGTGGACAGGTGAGAACTGAGAGGCTAATCAAGTTGGGATTCATTGAAGCCACCATCTTCCAAAAGTCTCTTGACTACAGAAAAAATATTGGATATCTGTGGGACTTTCCTAAATACTAGATAAAACTAATATTCTCAATCTTTGAAGTACAACAAAAATGCATTTCCAAATGCCATTTTCATTTTATATGTTTATTTTGTAACCATGTAGAAGGAATATAATAATTAGGATATAAGATATCTGTTACAAAAGGGCCATTTGCTTCTAGTTTGAATACTACTGAAAACATGCTGTTTAATTCCTTGCTAATAATGTTTCATGCTGAGTTTGCAAATATCCATGCAATGTGCTCCTTCCTAGTAAGTCATTGGTATACCTTCAGAGGGGATTTTTCCTTGTAATAGTGGAGAATTATGCCATATGACTTACAGTGGGAATAAAGGCATGTAAAACATTTGAAATGCTCAGACACAAGCTGTTAATGAGTGGACCTGCCATAGCTGAAAGTTTAGGAACCACACTCAGTGAACTCAATTACCAAATAGAAACAATTGTGAGAACAATGGAAAGCATGATTCTTCTTGAGTTTTAGAAACACTTAAGTGAAGAAACGGTAGATGAAAACTTGAAGAGAGAAAAATGAGTAGCACAGTCTGTGACAGATGAAAAAGCATGGACTTTTGATAAATTCAATTTCACTGTAAAAAGTTTGAAAAAAATTAGAAAATTATGAAGAAAGTAACAAAACATATCCGCTGTAAACTGGTTCAGAAAGTATTACTGTCAGCAGTTCAGATGGTTTCTTTCCAGGCTTTTTATCCACACACACACACACACACACACACACACACACACACACTCAAATACATATTTGTTCTCTTTGTTCTCTCTATATATAGAGCATATATATATAATATATATATTTACTCACTTGGTACTTTGTGTCCTTTTTTCTATAATGAGCTTGCCATTTCAAATCATATCCATATTACTCTTTTATAAATACCAATACTTAATCTGTAGTAAATGATTAAAACAGATGGAGGCAAAATCCTCATTGTTGAGAAATATAGAGCATATCGGTCTTGTACTCAGAATTGTCCCTTATATGACTGAAGTAGGAAACCTCATCTGCACAGTCACGTGTTTAGAATCAAATAATAGTGTCTGTTTGTTTCTTGTTGATATGATCATTATACAAATGGCTTTTTCTGAGTATCTAAATGGTGAGTCTGTCTATATAAATCACTAATTATATAAGGTTACCGTTTATGGGTATTCAGAAAAATTTTCTGAAAAGTGCTAAAATTTTCTGAATTTGCTAAAATGTGAAGTTAGCCTATGTAGTTGTTATACTAAAATTTCAATCTATTTTCTTACATTTCGGTGTGTTTTTCTCTTAATCTCTAAGGGAACTTGTTAGAGAAAGTGCAGATTTTATTATAAAAATTGCTCCACACTGACTACGGATATACTTGTCAACATTTTAGTTAATACTCGTTCTGTAAAACATTTATTTCACAATAAACAGATGTTTTATTACTTACACAAATATGTACAGTTCTAATTCAATTTTACTTAATCTTATTTTTTTGTTGACAAAAATGAATATATTCCAGTGATGAACTGATATAAATGGAAGACTGTGACTTGAAACTTATTTTATTAATGCTGTGGCATTGATATAATGAGGGTTTTTTTTTTTTGGAAGATCTGGAAGACATGCTTCTAGACAGAGATTTTTAAAAAGTAGTTATCCATTTTACTTAACTGCTTTGTGCTAAAGCTCAATTTTAGAAAAAATAACTCATGACTCTTAAAAATATAAAATGAATACAGGAAAGATTTTATTTAACTCATGAGTTAATGAGCAAACCAGTAAGATGTTAAACTAGTTCAAAGAAGAATTTGAAGAACTGCAGTGTGTGTATGTTTATGTGTGTGTGTATGTGCAGGATTATATAAATGAATTTGCAAACAGATTCAAAACTGGTTAATATCATATAGGATGTTAAATGTTGTATTTGTTATCTATTCTACAAGGCATAAATCAATTGGATTTCCACCAGACAAAATTCATTTCCATTGTTATGGGTAAGAATAATTTACATTTTTGTCAGATTTCATCAAGTTAGTTTCTGCCACTAGAGATATATAAAATACAGTACTCAATAGAAAGTTAGATCAAGATGTTCAGCTTATGGAATTGGACAATCCCTGGAGAGTCCACTGGACAATGTGGATCATGATCCTGAAGGATACCCATTAGTCTGTCTTGCCCTTTTCTGAGTTTGGGATAATTTTCCCCATTTGTGATTTAACTCTGCTTTGACGGAATGAATTTTAATAAACTGCTTTTCCAGATTTTCTTCTTAAGGTAGAATAACACCAATAAGAAAAGAAAACAGAGAAAAGGACAATTTTTTTTAAAGAAAGGCAAGTCTGGATACATATCTCAGGCTAACAGGTCTTATTTATGCTAGGAATTATTGGTTATTTTATTTTATTATTTAAAATTTATTTATTTATTATGTATTTTTGAGACAGGGTCTTGCTCTGTCACCCAGGCTGGAGTGCAGTGGTGCAATCTTGGCTTACTGCAACCTCTGCCTCCTGGGCTCAAGCAATCCTCCCGCCTTAGCCCCCTCATTAGCTAGGACCACAGGCTTGCACCCAGCTTTTGTGTGTGTGTGTGTGTGTGTGTGTGTGTGTGTATGTGTGTGTGTGTGTGTGTGTGTGTGTGTGTTTTAGAGACAGGGTTTCACCATTTTGCCCAGGCTGGTCTTGAACCCCTCAGCTTAAGTGATCTGCCTGCCTTGGCCTCCCAAAGTGCTGGGATTATAGGCATGAGCCACCATGCCCTGCTGAATGTTCCCATTATTTTAAGTATCATATGACTCCATACAAAAGCAACACAGTACCTAATAGTCTTTTGGCATTCTCAACCAATTCATATTTTTAAGATTTGAAAGCTTTTGTATTCTGGATTCCTAACCTGGATGCCTTGGGTTTGTTGAGCAAACATAGAAACTATAGTTAGTTAAATGTATCAACATACATTGCATATGAGGAGGAGATTAGCTATGTTCAGGGTAGAAAATGACTCACAGGTGTTGATATTAACCCTCAACTATGTCACTGTGAATAATTTTGAACTTAATAGATTTCATAACCAAAATACCAAAACTAATTTATCTTCACACCTCTAATCACTGGATTAACAAATTTTGCTATAATATGACTTGCAAACTCCTTCCCTTCTGATATACCCTTGTATTAGTTTGTTCTTGCATTGCTCTAAAGAAATACGTGAGGCCAGGTGTGGTGGCTCACACCTGTAATCCCAGCACTTTGGGATGCTGAGGCGGGTGGATCACCTGAGGTCAGGAGTTTGAGACCTGCCGGCCAACATGGTGAAAACTCATGTCTACTAAAAATATAAAACTGAGCTGGGCATGGCGGTGGGCACCTGTAATCCCAGTTACTTGGGAGGCTGAGACAGGAACATCACTTAAACCTGGGAGGCAGAGGTTGCAGTGAACTGAGACTGTGCCATTGCACTCTAGCGTGGGCAACAAGAGTGAAACTCTGTCCCAACAACAAAATAAATAAATAAATACATACATACATACATACATACATACATACGTGAAACTGGGCAATTTATAAAGAAAAGAGGTTTAATTGGCTTACTGTTCTGCAGCTGTACAAAAGCGTAGTGGCTTCTGTTCAGCTTCTGGGGAGGCCTCAGGAAACTTACAATCATGGCAGTAGATGAAGGGGGAAGCAGGCACCTCTTATATGGCCTGAGCAGGAGGAATGGTGGTGGGGAGGGGCCACATGCTTTTAAACAACCAGATCTCAGGATAACCCACTGACTCGCTATCACTAGAACAGCACCAAGGGGACGGTGCTAAAACATTCACGAGATACCACCTCCATGATCCAATCACCCAGGCCCCATCTCCAACATTGGGAATTTAATTGAACATGAGATTTGGATGGGGACACAGATCCAAGCCACATCAACACAGCCCAAGAGATGATAAATTGACATTTCCAGAAAAATAGAAGTTATTATGTTACAACATTTACTTCTTTGCTCCTTTTTGTTTGTAAATATACCTAAAGTTCCATGTGTCATTGTATCTATTGTATCTTCCTATTTCATCCGAAATAAGCCATTTTTTTTCACCTTTTCTTTCTTTCTTTCTTTTTTATTTTTTTCTTTTTATTTTTTTGAGACGGACTCTCACTGTGTCACTCAGGCTGGAGTGCAATGGCGTGATCTCGGCTCACTGAAACTTCCACTCCCTGGTTGAAGCAATTCTCCCACCTTAGCCTCCCGAGTAGCTGGGACTACAGGTGTGTGCTACCACACCCAGCTAATTTTTGTATTTTTAATAGAGACAGGGTTTCACCATGTTGGCCAGACTGCTCTCGAACTCCTGAACTCAAGTGATCCACCTGTCTTGGCCTTCCAAAGTGCTGGGATTACAGGTGTGAGCCACCACGCCCGGCCTACCTTTCTAAGATTAAGGCTCTATTACAAATTATTTAGAACTTTGTTCATTGGTTTTTGTCTTTCACTTTGTATAAAAGCACTTTAAAAACACACTTAGGTATTCCTATTTGCCCCTCTTTCTATGAAAAAAGTAATGAACAATAAAGCTGCACTCACACTTAACACCTTCAGCTAAATTCGATTTAGTTACTCTCTTCCATCCTTCTGGAACTTCTTTCTAGACTTAGTAGTATTGTTTGCACATCATCACTTCATTCCAACTCTTCAGCCCGTGGACACCTAGTTTGTGTTCCTGTTACACAGACAGTCTTCTTTCCAAGTCCAATGGCTTATTTTTCAATTGCTAAACCCAGTGGGCTGTTTCAGTTTTTTCTTTGACCTTTTTTCTGTGTTTTACAGTCTTGTCACAATCCTCCTGCCTTTCTTCATTAGAGGAATCTTTTCTAGGCTTTCAGAAAATCATTCTACCTCACTACCTGCCCACTCCTCACCTCCATGCCCCTAGCTTTCCTCCGAACTTTTGACTTCTCCTCATTCTCCTTTATTCTTTAATGCTCTTGATTCTTTTTTCCTTCTTGCGCTCTATGAATGGTACTATTTACTCCCCAAATTTGAAGTGCCATCTTGAGCTGTTTATTCCAACAATGTCTCCTGCACCTTTGTTCCTAAAACCAAGTGAATTTGTAATTCAAACTTAAAATGTAAAAAGTAGAATTCGCTGCCTTTGGTTTTTTCTTTTTATTTATTTTCTATCTTGTTGAGTGACATTATCGCTGTCAATATTTTCAAGAAAGATTAACATCACCCTTAACTTCTGCCTTGCCCCTCATTTCTCAATGTAATCTATTATAAACCTTATTGATTAGCTTCCTTAATGTTACCACTGCTCTAACTAAATATTGTGTTCAAATTGCTATCTGCTGAACTTTAACTACTGAAAATGTAAGAAAGGATAGCAACAAACCCCGCTTCAGCTATACTAGCCACATCATTCTTTGCATTCTGTGCTCTATAACACTGAGTTGTTCATGATTCTCAAACTTTCTTTACTCAATCTACGCACTTTCCAGAGATTGTCATCTCATATTTTCTCAGTATAGCAAACTCATACTTATTCATCAAGACTTAGTAAAAACATCATCTTCTCTACAGACATTGTCTTGGCTCCCCCTGGTAGAATCACGTGCTGTTCTCTGTGAACAGGGTTTTGTTACACAACAATGCAATCTATTTATCTGCCTGGTTTCCCCATGATTTGAGAGTAAGGAATGTGGCTTATTTATCCTTGTATTTTCATTTCCTATTGTAAATCCATTGTAAATTTTAATGAACGCCTTTTGACTGAATGGGAACATTATGATGGAATGAAATATTTGTCATTGTTTAAGGATCATGCCATGAATTTCTTCATGTAAATTTCATTTCACTCTTACCATAAGTGTTGGTTTGGGTGATCTTTTCAAATGAGTGTGTGTGTGTGTGTGTGTGTGTGTGTGTGTGTGTGTGTGTCTGTATGAGAATGTAATTCTAGTCAAAACTAACTCCTCCCTAAGGGGTCATTCTTCATAAATTACAAAATTTTTTGTGGGATCTTGGATTTTTGTAAACATGAGCCACTTCCATGCTTTTGGCCACACCACCTTTGTGGTCATGCATAAAATTCCTCTTTCAGCTGACACTTATGCTCTGCTTCATGCTTGCTATATATTTAGGATTTAGGAAAGTGATAATACTCATGGCACAGTATTTCTGAGTTCTTGTTTTAACTTGGCAAATGTTTTCACTAATAATTTTGTTGGTAAAATATGATATTCCTAAAGAAAATCATTTTAATTTATCATCACTTCTGACAAAAAATACTTGGTTGAAAAAATATTCATTGCATCTTTATGAACATCTCCCATATAATATACCAGCTATAATTTAAATGTTTTCCCTATGTCCAGTACTTCTAAATGGTCAATAGACTATGGTTGGCCATTTGGCAAAACTGACTTCTCAAGAGGAAACAAGCATATTTTGATAAAAATAATCTTGTTACTCAAGGTCATTAAGTAATTGATGAACTATGTACAAGTTTATTATATCTCTTTTTATCTTGTAGCTACCTGTCAGTATCACGTTTTTTTTCCTAAATTGTAATCCTTCATGCACAGAAATGTTCCATGTGGCAACTTCAAAGACAACCTGCTGAGAAACCAAGAGAATATTTAATAATGCTCAAGAGCAATGAGGCATGAATGATCAAATGAAGGTCTTTCCAGTTAGTTATTGATTATTCTATCATGGCAGGTAACTTCAAACACCACACACAATCTTTTGAACATTACCTTCATCTCCTAATATTTCTATCACTAGAAGAAATTACTTTCCTTGACCTTCCATAGCAGGCAAATCTGTTTTGCATTATTTATTGATCTTATAATATAATATTCTTGGAGGGATAAATGAGACTCATCAAGTTCAAATAAATTATAATTGTAGAAGTCTTAAAGGTAACCCTTATATTCTCATATACTTAATGCAGAAGAAAACTGTTAGTTCTCATAGATGGACTTCTAGAACACCATCCAGGACTTAAAAGTTTAAATTGAAAGTGAACTTTTATTTTAGACTTTTTAACAATATATGTCAAAGTGCCATTTGGCAACTATCCCTTAACATCCAGAAAACTAATGAAGTGCAGGTAGGTTACACCTTAGCTTACTAGTCCTTATGGTTATCTCCTTTTCTAAAATGACAAAAGAACTTGAAGAATTAGCTGTGGAACAAAAAAAAGAAAATATACTCTGCTCAATAAACACCATTCAGATATGATAACAATCTTCAAGGTAGGCAGCAGTCATGAAAGCAATAAACAATTTAGTTGGTCTTGTATAAGCTACTATCTTACTAATCATGTTTGAAAATCATTCCATTGATTGTAGCTATTACATATTTTTGAATAAGGCCAATTTAAAATTATTTAATTTGAGAATGAAAATTTCTAAATAAGCCAAAAATAATGTAATTATGCTGTATTAGCTGCTATTAAAAATATACCATAGTATGTAATTTACATATAAAGTTGAAAGCTCTTTGGTATTCATTTTCCACCTGGGGAATCTGATTATATCTTTTGGATTTTTTCATTCTTCCAAATGATGGTCAATATTTCATACAATACTTTTGTAACTGTTAATACCTTGTCCCCCACTATGGTTACCTTATTGGGTTCACAGATATACACTTGTTTCTTTTCACATTAAAAGATGTCAGAAGCTTTTTAAAAAAGAGCTAGGCTTCAAAGAGGAAGAGCTTTGTGCTTAGGTTGACAGTAAAGAGGAAATACTTTATGACGCTGACATTAGACAAAAGAACCTATACACATGTATAAGTGAATTGCTATTATATTGCTTCATAGAGGTTATGATTTATGATATATTTACTTATATAAAATAACAAATCAGAGTACAGAACTAATCTTCCGGTATTTTTTTATTCATTGCAACAATGTATTGATTTTTTTCACAGCATTTACATCACATACTGAGAGTTAGGACTATAATAATAAACTTTTCTCTTTTTCTATTGAATCTTCTGTATCATGAGATTACCAACATTGTAAAAATATTAATAAAAATAGCCCTTTTTCACATTTATGCAGCATTCTTCTAAAAGATTCACGATTCACCATTTCATTCATTTCCATGGCAACCATGTAAGTCAGGTTTTTTGAAACTAAATATTACAAAGGAAAATAGAAAATCCAGAAGAAGCTTTGGATTCTTGCTCACCTAGGTAAATCAGTGTGTCTGACATGTGCTCCAAAGGTCAATACCTTGATGAGATTCTTTTGGAAGCTGATAGTTGATGTTATGTTCTCAGCTTTTTAAAGGATAATGATATCTTTCTTTCAAAAGATAGGTTTGAGAAAAACAACAGTTTCCTTACCCTTTCCCAGTCCCTCCCCATCACCAATTCTTCTTCTATTTATGGGAAATTTTATAAAGGTATGTGAATTCCACATATTATTAAAATACCTTAAACAGATAAATGAAATTGGAAACTAATGAGAGATTAATGTATTTTCATTGATTCTATATAGATTTGTTGAATTCTTACCATGTTTTATCTATTAGTTGGGGCACTGAAGATGCAGCAGTAAACAAAACAAGTTTTCTGCTTTTATAGCTGTTATATTCCAGTGGAGAAGAAAAACAGTATTAAAAAGTAGCAGTCATAAGACTTATGAAGAACGTGATACCAGCTGATTTGGTTTGAAGAGAAAACACGAGTATTTAATATTAAGAAAAAAAGTGGTTAGAGATGAATGCCAGGAATTACCTAAACTGATTGATACTTAATCAGAGAGATTGAATATAAACTGCAAGTAAAATTTTTCCTGTTACATGAATCCCTGACACCTCTAAGAAACACATGTGAGACAGAATAAACCAGGAAGTCGCCAGCAATAAAGGACACTGCTTGAAGCAATATGATCCTGTAGAAGTTGGCTGTTCCCATTCATAATCACAAAGCCCTACTCTCCACTTCGGCCAATCAATGAGACAATGTGGTCTCCACCTACTTCTCTAACCCAAAGTTTTTTTCTCTCTTCCTTTAATTTTTCTTTATAGCCATATTGCATGATTATAATTCAGGGTCCCTGCTCCTGCCATATAGTTTATCTTTCCTCTGGAACTTGTGCATGCTCTTGTGTATTACTGGAATGCTTTGCCTATTATGCCATACTCCTTCAGAAATCAGTTTAGGTAATTCCTGGCATTCATCTCTAATCTGTCAAGTCTCTGTAAGGTGTCTCTTCTTATAAGATTCATTGACACCCTATAGAGAGGTGTCGTCTTATATATTCTCATCATTATTTTTATTATAACTTAATTGTCTGTACTCTCATGATAGTGTCTAAAGGACTGGTTATTGTGTTATTCATCACTAATAATTTATGTGTTCTTTGATGAAATACATAGACATGACAAAGGAAAAGTGAGATAAACCTTTTCTGTGACAACTTCATTAAAATACAATTCACATACCACAGAATTAAGTCATTTAAAGTATAAAATTCAATGATTTTTAGGATATTCACAGAGTTGTTCAACAATCACTATAATCGGTTTTAAAACATCTTTACCCTTTCCCTCCTTCCCCAATTCTTCCATCCCTCTTGCCGTCTAAGCAACCACTAATGTACTTTTTGTCTCCATAAGTTTGCCTATTCTGGACATTTAATATACATTGAAGCATATAATATGTGGTATTGTGTGATGGCCTTCTCAGAGTTGGCATAATGTCTTCATGATTGTTCCACTTTGTAGTATGTACCAGGTTTTTTGTTTGTTTGTTTTGTTTTGTTTTTGTTTTTGTTTTGATGGAGTCTCGCTCTGTCACCCAGGCTGGAGTGCAATGGCTCAATCTCACCTCATTGCAACCTCTGCCTCCTGGGTTCGAGTGATTCTCCTGCCTCAGCCTCCCGAGTTTGTGATTAGTTTTTTATTGCTGAAAAAATGTTCTGATGTATGATTATTTATCCATATTTTGTTTGTTCATTCATCAGTTGATGGACATTGGGTTGTTTCTACCTTTTGAATATTCTGAATAAAGATTCTGTGAACATTTGTGGGCAAGTTTTTGTGGATATATTTTTATTTCTCTCGAATACATACCTAGTAATGCAATTGCTAGATCATATGTTAGCTCTGTGTTTAATCATTTGAGGAATAGCCAGACCACTTTCTAAAGTGGCTCCATTGTTTTACATTTCTACCAGCAGCATATGAGTTCCGATCCTCTATATCCTCTCCAACACTGATTGTTTATCTTGTTGGTATTAGCATCACAGTGAGTGTGAGGTGGTATCTCACTTGTGATATTGATTTGCATTTCCCTGGTCACTAATGGTACTGAACATGTTTCCCATGTACTTATTGGTTGTTTATATATCTTCTTGATATCTATTCAAATTCTTTGTCTATTTTAAAACTGGGTTACATGATTTACTATTGACTTTAAAAGTTTTTTAGATAGTCTAGATACAAGTCCCTTATCAGACATATAATTTGCAAATATCCTCTCTCATTTTCTGGGTTATTTTTTCATTTTCTTGATAATGTCTTTTAAAGCCCAAATGTCTTTAATTTTGAAGAGGTCAAATTTATCAATATATTTGTTGTTGCATGTGTGTTTGTTGTCTTATCTAAGAAAACATTGCCAAACCCAAGGATGTGATTTGTGCCTATGTTCTTTTGCCAAGAGTTTTATAGTGTTACTTCTCACATATAGGTTATTAATCCACTTTGAGTTAATTTTGGTACACAGTGTGATATAGGGGTCCAAATTTATACTTTTGTAAGTGGATATCCAGTTCTCCCAGTATCATTTGTTGAGAAGACTTCTTCTCCGCTCCCCCCTACTAAATTGTCTCGGCACCTTTGTTGAGAATCAATTGATAAAAAATGTGAGTTTACTTCTGGAAACTCAATTCTATTCCTTTGATCTATATCTCTATCTTTATGCAAATAGTATGCTGTTTTGATTACTGTAGGTTTGCCTTAAGTTTTGCAATTGAAAAGTGTCACACCTCTAAATTTGTTCTTCTTTTTCAAGAATGTTTTCACTATTCCTGGGTTACTTGAGTTTCCACATGAATTTTAAAAGCAGATTGTCAATTTTTACAGAGAAACCAGCTGGGATTCTGATGGAAATTGCATTGAATCTATAGGTCAATTTGGGAATTATTTCTGTCTTAAATTGTAAGGGCTGCCATTACAAAGTACCAGAGATTGAGTGGCTTAAATGATAGGAATTAATTTTCTCACAACTCTGAAGGCCAGAAGTCCGAGATCAGGGTGTCAGCATGGTTGGTTTCTTCTTTCCTTGGCTCATAGATGGCCAACATCTCCCTGTGCCTTTACATCATTTTTTTCTGTATATGTATCTATGTGCAAATTTCCTGTTCTTATAAGGACATCAGTCATTTTGGATGAGGTCCATCCTAATGACTTCATTTTAACTTAATTACCTCTTTAAAGACCCTGTATCCAAATATAGTCACATTCTCAGGAACTGAGGATTAATTAGGATGTCAACATATGAATTTTGGAGTCAGGGCATAACTTATTCCATAATAACAGCCAACTAAACAATATTAGGTTTTCCAAGCAATCACCATAGAATGGCTTTCTGTTTATTTGGAACTTCTTAATTTCTCACAAAAATGTTTTGTGGTTTCCAGAGTATAAATTTTGCACTCCTTTTTGTAAAATTTATTTCTAAGCACTTTATTTTTTTTATGCTATTTTAAAATCAAATTATTCTCTTAATTTTATTTTTGGAATTTTATTGCAAGCATATAGAAACACACAGAATTTTATATATTTATTTGTTATTTTGCAACCTTTCTGAACTTTTTTTATTAGTTCTAATAGTGTTTTAGACAAGTTCTTATAATTTTCTGCATATAAGATTATGCCATCTAGGAAGAGAGATAGTGTTACTTCCTTGTTGCCAATTTAAATACCTTTAATTTATTTTTACTCAATTGCCCTGGCTAGAAGTCTTAAAAGAATATTAAGTGGAAATGGTAAGAGAATACATTCTTGTCTTGTTTAAAGTCTCAGAGAAAAATAATTTAATTTTTTCACCATTAAGTATAATGGTAATTGTGGGTTTTCATAGATACTCTTTATCAGGTTGAAGAAGTTCCCTTCTATTCTTAGTTTGTTGAGTATTTCTATCAGAAATGTTTTGGATTTCATCAAATACTCTTTCTGATTCGAGTTGATCAGGTGGGTTTTATATTTATTCTGTTGACATGATGTGTTGTATTAACTTATTTTTGAATGTTCAACCAGCTTTGCATTCCTAGAATAAAAACCACTTGGTCATGGTATATAATCCTTTATTTTTGAAAAATAGTTATGCTGGACATAGAATTCTTGGTTCATAGGTTTTTCTCCTCCCGTCTCCCAAGCATTGGTCGAATATTTTTTTCCACTGTCTTCTGCCCTCCATTGTTTCTGAAGATATGTCTGCTGTTAATCTTATTGAGGTTTTCTAATAGGTGATGAATTCTTTATTTATTAATTTATTTGTTGCCGCTTTTAATAAGATATTTCTCCTGGTCTTTGACTTTCAGAGTTTTCATTATGGTGTGTCTATATGTGTATATCTTTGTTTTTAATCGTACTTGGAGTTTGTTAAAGTTTTTGGAAGTATAGGTTGTTATTTTTTAATAAATTTGGAATTTTATACTTCAGGCATTATTTTTATCAGTATTTTTTATCTCTTATGTGTATGTTAGTGTGATTAAAGGTGTTCCACATTTCTCTGAGGTTCTCTTTATTTTTATTCTATTTGCTCTGTTTTTCAGACTGCGTAAACTCTATTAATTTATCTTCAGGTTCACTAGTTCTTTCTTCTGTTAGAACATACCTACTGTTGAGTCACTTTAACACAATTTTTCATTTCAGTTATTGTACTTTCAGCTCCATAATTCCGTTTGGTTCTTTTTAAGTTCTATTTCTTTGGTGACATTGTCTACTTACTTGATAAGCCATTGTCACCATTATTATGGTTTCATTTAGTTCTTTGACCATACAGCAAATCTCAAGTCTTTGTTAAATCTAATGTCTTGTCACTCTCAAAGACAGTTTCAGTTCACTGCTTTCTTTCTGGTGTGTGAGTCACACATTGCTGTTTCTTTACTCTCATAATTTTTGTTGGAAACTGTTCATGTTACATGATATATTAATATAGTGACTAATATTAATATATTCATAGAATGTGTGTTAATATATAATAATTTATTATTATTATACTTTAAGTTTTAGGGTACATGTGCACAATGTGCAGGTTAGTTACATATGTATACATGTGCCATGCTGGTGTGCTGCACCCATTAACTCATCATTTAGCATTAGGCATATCTCCTAATGCTATCCCTCCCCCCTCCCCCAACCCCACAACAGTCCCCAGAGTGTGATGTTCCCCTTCCTGTGTCCATGTGTTCTCATTGTTCAATTCCTATCTATGAGTGAGAACATGCGGTGTTTGGTTTTTTGTCCTTGCGATAGTTTACTGAGAATGATGATTTCCAATTTCATCCATGTCCCTACAAAGGACATGAACTCATCATTTTTTATGGCTTCATAGTATTCCATGGTGTATATGTGCCACATTTTCTTAATCCAGTCTATCGTTGTTGGACATTTGGGTTGGTTCCAAGTCTTTGCTATTGTGAATAGTGCCACAATAAACATACGTGTGCATGTGTCTTTATAGCAGCATGATTTATAGTCCTTTGGGTATATACCCAGTAATGGGATGGCTGGGTCAAATGGTATTTCTAGTTCTAGATCCCTGAGGAATCGCCACACTGACTTCCACAATGGTTGAACTAGTTTACAGTCCCACCAACAGTGTAAAAGTGTTCCTATTTCTCCACATCCTCTCCAGCAGCTGTTGTTTCCTGACTTTTTAATGATTGCCATTCTAACTGGTGTGAGATGGTATCTCATTGTGGTTTTGATTTGCATTTGTCTGATGGCCAGTGATGATGAGCATTTTTCCATGTGTCTTTTGGTTGCATAAATGTCTTCTTTTGAGAAGCATCTGTTCATATCCTTTGCCTACTTGTTGATGGGGTTGTTTATATCCTTCTTGTAAATTTGTTTGAGTTCATTGTAGATTCTGGATATTAGCCCTTTGTCAGATGAGTAGGTTGCAAAAATTTTCTCCCATTTTGTAGGTTGCCTGTTCACTCTAATGGTAGTTTCTTTTGCTGTGCAGAAGGCCTTTAGTTTAATTAGATCCCATTTGTCAATTTTGTCTTTTGTTGCCATTGCTTTTGGTGTTTTAGACATGAAGTCCTTGCCCATGCCTATGTCCTGAATGGTATTGCCTAGATTTTCTTCTAGGGTTTTTATGGTTTTAGGTCTAACGTTTAAGTCTTTAATCCATCTTGAATTAATTTTTGTATAAGGTGTAAGGAAGGGATCCAGTTGCACCACTCCTATTCAACATAGTGTTGGAAGTTCTGGCCAGAGCAATTAGGCAGGAGCAGGAAATAAAGGGTATTCAATTAGGAAAAGAGGAAGTCAAATTGTCCGTTTGCAGGTGACATGATTGTATATCTAGAAAACCCCACTGTCTCAGCCCAAAATCTCCTTAAGCTGATAAGCAACTTCAGCAAAGTCTCAGGATACAAAATCAATGTACAAAAATCACAAGCATTCTTATACACCAATAACAGACAAACAGAGAGCCAAATCATGAGTGAACTCCCATTCACGATTGCTTCAAAGAGAATAAAATACTTAGGGATCCAGCTTACAAGGGATGTGAAGGACCTCTTCAAGGAGAATTACAAACCACTGCTCAATGAAATAAAAGAGGATACAAACAAATGGAAGAACATTCCATGCTCATGGGTAGGAAGAATCAATATCGTAAAAATGGCCATACTGCCCAAGGGAATTTATAGATTCAATGCCATCCCCATCAAGCTACCAATGACTTTCTTCACAGAATTGGAAAAAACTACTTTAAAGTTCATATGGAACCAAAAAAGAGCCCGCATCGCCAAGTTGATCCTAAGCCAAAGGAACAAAGCTGGAGGCATCACACTACCTGACTTCAAACTATACTACAAGGCTACAGTAACCAAAACATCATGGTACTGGTACCAAATCAGAGATATAGACCAATGGAACAGAACAGAGCCCTCAGAAATAACGCCACATATCTACAACTATCTGATCTTTGACAAACCTGAGAAAAACCAGCAATGGGGAAAGGATTCCCTATTTAATAAATGGTGCTGGGAAAACTGGCTAGAAAGCTGAAAATATATAATAATTTATTATATTTTACTAAATATATTTATTAATTTAGATTAGTCAATATAATGACTAATATTAATATATTATAAACATATATGCTAATATATAACATAATATATTTATATATTGTAATACTATATAATATATAGTATACATGATATGTTAATAATATATTAATACAGAATAATATTCTATAGGCCCTATTATTTCATGGCCCCATTATTCTCAGCATCCTCTGCCTTACAAGTGAGGGTTAGGTGTAAGGAGAGCTCTTGCCCTCTCGACTGCACTCCCTGAAATTTAATAACTATGACATATAGCTGTGGGTGACGGATGGGATGAGAAATGCTGATATCCAGCTCTTCCAGGGAATTAACAATGTATTAATATAGAATATGTTAATATACAATATTATATATAATACATTAATAATATAGTGACATTTATACTATATTAATATAGTGACTCTGGTCTTCATTTGGACTTTGTCATTTGCTTACTTATTTAATCATCGGATGGACTAGTTGAGTAAGGTCTATTTCTCTTGCATTGTGAATCCTCTAATGTTACTCAGAGGGTTCAGCCTTCGGAATGTACACAGTTATTCTGAAATGATAATGGTTTTAGCAGGCCTCTGTTTGACCATCCTTCCTCACTACCACCACATCCAGCTGTTAAGCTTCACTAAGTTCCACTTAATTGATTTATTATTTTCAACAATGCCTTGGTTCATAAATTTCTCTACATACTTGATCCACTTTAACTAAGATCCTTTTCAGGGTAATTTTTGAGGTCAGTGTTTGAGTTGTTTTCTAGTCCCGGGAAGGGCCTTAACTCATTTTCTCTGGTAAGCTAGCTGGTCAATGGTTTAGTTTATATCTCTAATAAAGTTAACAATTTCCCATTAATTACTTTCCATCAAAAGAGCTTGGTTAGGCATTTCTTTGGAGAGAGCTTTGGAACTATCTGTTTTATGGCTTGCCTTTTCCCTCGGGAAAGTCTCTGAGCCAGGGCTTCCGAACCGGTGATGAGGACAGTGGCATGCTTCTCTCTGTGTGATACCCATGAAGTTGTCTTTTGTCTTCTTGGTAGGGCTCTCTGGCATAGATTCTTTGCCCTACAGATGAACCAGGTGAGGGCAGTTAGGGCCCTATTATTTTCAGTATCCTCTGCCTCACAAGTGAGGGTTAGGCATAAGGAGAGCTCTTGCCCTCTCAACTGCACTCCCTGAAATTTAATTTCTATAACATATAGCTGTGGGTGAGGGATGGGATGAGAAATGCTGACATCCAGTTCTTCCTGGGAATGTAGCAACAATACGAAAACTTTTGATTGGTTGCTGATAAAGAGGGAGCTCTGTGTTCATGGCTACATTAGATTGTAATGGAGTTTCCATCATGCTAGGCTGGGTGGGAGGAAGGAGGGAGCAGCTCATGCTTCAGATTCCCCAGACTTTCACGGTTCTTACTGATTTTCAGTGGATTTTCTTGATTAAATATTTCTTCATTTTCCTGTATGCCCTTAAGAATATGGTCAGATACTTTAAATACTTTTAAAAAGAATTTTCACTCCTTTCCCTGGGGAGCTGGTCTGCAGAGCTCCTCCCTTTTATATTTTAGAAGTGCAAATTGAGACTACTTTTAAAAATGACCGTCTGTCCTTGCCTGGTGTATGTAAGCATCAATGTGCTGAGGTACTTATTTACTTTATTTTCCAGAGTTTAGTTTTAAGGTTTTGCTAACTAGAATGAGCTCCAATTGAAAGTAATGCTTTATTAGTAGGGGGATGTTTACCCAGCTCTTTGGCTGGTAATTCGAATTTCTGTTTTTCAGTCCTTTTTAGTCATTTTGATGCTCAACTTTGTATAGTAAACAAGCAGCTTTCAACCTATTTGGGCTTTCTAACAATTATAAGACCCTAAAATATCTGTGGACAGCAAATCTTTATTGATATATACCTATACTCTTGGTATCACCAATTCTGATATTAGAGCATAATAATAAAAATATATGTTTAGATCGAGACATTAAACAATAGCACTCAAAAATGGCATTTTTGAGACTGAGCATTACTCAAAGATGCAAAAGAGAAACTCTGCTATTTGAGGTTTCTGCTATTTCCTGTCCCTAATATGTGTCACCTAAATTTCTAAACATATAGAAAAATTGAAAGAAAGAAAAATGTATATATATATATACACACACATATAATCTATATTTAACAATAATTGGTATTTGTTATTGTGATTGTTAAGCAAATATTCTTACAGATTTACTTTATTTGTCTATCTTGTTGAATACTTAGAAATTAAATCACATACTTTGAATTCTTTATTCCTAAATTCTTTAGTATGCATCTTCTAAGATATTATTAGGTCTCACTAACTTGTGCTGCTATTTTTAGTATTTTTACCAGGAAGAAAACTACCAAAACTATATGCCTGTCATTTTCTGGGAAAGTGGAATCTTTACAGATTTAGTAGCAAACACAGTACTTTGGCTCTTCATAAGTAACTTGAGAGCTTTAATTTATTTGTATGCGAAATTCATACACTTGTTCACTTGTTGAAAATTTACAATAATGGTGAAATAGTTATTAGCACGCATGCAGGAATCAGGCCATTTCCACAGGAACCTACACATTAACACATTGGCAAGCATGACTTTAGAGGATTTTTTTTGGTATTTGATTAATGACTTATTAAAATAATGAAATAAACTATTGAGTTTTTAACAGTAAACATATTTTAGATGTTAAGTCATCATGAATTTAAACGACGAAGTTAATAAAGTTAATTTAGTACAAGAAACTGAGATTTTATTAGCTTAGCTTGAAAATTACATTTTCCCCCATGAGTGAATTTAAATGAGCTTCATTGGCCATTGAGCCATTAATCAAGCTTTTATTTGTCTTTGGAAAGTTCTTGGCATCATTCAGGTAACCTTTCTGTAAATTAGGTAGTTTCTGCGTCTGTGCTTTCTGTTTCAGCTAATGAACTTCAGTATTCATGAATAGTGAATTTGAGGATGATCTACTATTTTCTCTAATGAGTTGATATTTGATTTCTCAACACTAACTTTTCTTTAAACCTCAGATAATCATATTTGGTGAAGAAAAATCTTTTTTTTTTATGTTGTGGCCCATAATAAATAATTCCTATTATTGTAAAAAATTTGACTGTTGTTTGCTTGCTCTAATCTGAATTTGGGGAAAGCTTTTTACTTTTATCTATTGGGTAAGATTGGTGAAGCTGTAGATAACAAGAGGCGAGGTTCACATGAATGAAGATGTAAGGACAGAAAGGCATAAGAAATCTTTAAGATTTGTCCCTCTTTGATTTGATAGTTTGTTTGTGGATTTTTTTTTTTTTTTTTTTTTGCCCATTAGCAGACTGTTTTGATTTTACCGTTTCAGCACGGAAAAGGTTGTTAACAGCTTTTGCAGGCAGAAAAGGTGAATAGGGCAATACAATCTCAGTATGTATATTAGGAAATCAGTATGTATATAGGAAATAGCCCAATAAATTTGTTATTCTGTTTTTCCTAATTCTTATTCAACTGAGAATTACCTGATTGTTGCTTTATTTTGTCACTCAACAAGTGGCTATTGTGGAAATTATTATTGACCTACGGTTAGTCACCACTTCCATGCTAGTCATCCTCTTGCCTTCTCCCTGAAATGGCTCAGAATTAGTGATATCTGCTATTAAAAAACAAAACTGAGTTACCACAAGCAAGATTAAATCAAACATGCATCAACATTCCAAATTAATTGCCTGTAATTCAGTAGATGGCAGTCTTTCCATGTTGACTAAACTCAGGACCTGAAATGCGTATAGCCTCAGATAGAGGATACAAGGTTTAGGCTAGGCATAGAGACAGTGCCCACAATGCATGATTTGGGACATCAAAAGGTCTTCCTTGCCTGAGGTCAGTAGTTCTTCTTAAAAGTCCTTTTTAATATTGTTCAATTTATTCTAGCCAATAGAATGGTATTGTATCAGAAAAGAATATGTTGAGTGTGTTTGTGTGTGGGCAGTGGCGTGCAGTGATTATGAAAGAGGGGAATAAAACATTTGGAATCCAGGGCCCTGTCCTGCTTCTGAGTAAGGATACCAAGTGATGGAGAAAGTAAGGAACAGAGAGGGGAAAGGACCCACATTTTCAGATTTCTTTATATTTATATTGTCATTTATACATGACCTAAGAAGACATGCTCATGTTTAGGGAAGAATGAAAATTTCATTCAAATATCTGCCTGAGGTATACTTTTTAAAGTAGGACTTCTTATATCTTCTAATGTTTAGTATATGCCTATAAAGCAGCATTTTTCCTGTGAATCTAACATTTATTCATGGCATTAAACTATAATTTATTTTTAATAACATTTCTGGATTTAACATGTCTAAAAAGTAACAACATAGGCTTCCATGGTCATTGAAAAACAATTTAAAAAATTCTTCTTCTGTATATTATTTTACGATGTTTAACTTTTTGTCATATGTACACACACACACAGAACAACAACAACAGCAACAGCATAGGTGAAGCCTTAGTATGTACTATGTTGAATGATAACAATATTTTTGATTGTAGAAATGATTCTAGAGATTGTCTACTAATATTACAACAAATAAAAATAATTGAATATAAAATGTTTTAGACAACTATGTTAGAGCTTATGGATTCCGGTTTTACATTTTTTTAAATTATACTCTAAGTTCTAGGGTAGATGTGCACAATGTGCAGGTTTGTTACATATGTATAAATGTGCCATGCTGGTGTGCTGCACCCATTAAGTTGTCATTTACATTAGGTATATCTCCCAATGCTATCCCTCCCCCCTCCCCCAACCCCACAACAGTCCCCAGAGTGTGATGTTCCCCTTCCTGTGTCCATGTGATCTCATTGTTCAATTCCCACCTATGAGTGAGAATATACGGTGTTTGGTTTTTTGTTCTTGCGATAGTTTACTGAGAATGATGATTTCCAATTTCATCCATGTCCCTACAATGGACATGAACTCATCATTTTTTATGGCTGCATAGTATTCCATGGTGTATATGTGCCACATTTTCTTAATCCAGTCTATCATTGTTGGACATTTGGGTTGGTTCCAAGTCTTTGCTATTGTGAATAGTGCTGCAATAAACATACGTGTGCATGTGTCTTTATAGCAGCATGATTTATAGTCCTTTGGGTATATACCCAGTAATGGGATGGCTGGGTCAAATGGTATTTCTAGTTCTAGATCCCTGAGGAATCGCCACACTGACTTCCACAATGGTTGAACTAGTTTACAGTCCCACCAACAGTGCAAAAGTGTTCCTATTTCTCCACATCCTCTCCAGCAGCTGTTGTTTCCTGACTTTTTAATGATTGCCATTCTAACTGGTGTGAGATGGTATCTCATTGTGGTTTTGATTTGCATTTCTCTGATGGCCAGTGATGATGAGCATTTTTTCATGTGTCTGTTGGCTGCATACATGTCTTCTTTTGAGAATTGTCTGTTCATATCCTTCACTCACTTTTTGATGGGGTTGTTTGTTTTCTTCTTGTAAATTTGTTTGAGTTCATTGTAGATTCTGGATATTAGCCCTTTGTCAGATGAGTAGATTGCAAAAACTTTCTCCCATTCTGTAGGTTGCCTGTTCACTCTGATGGTAGTTTCTTTTGCTGTGCAGAAGCTCTTTAGTTTATTTAGATCCCACTTGTCAATTTTGTCTTTTGTTGCCATTGCTTTTGGTGTTTTAGACATGAAGTCCTTGCCCATGCCTATGTCCTGAATGGTATTGCCTAGGTTTTCTTCTAGGGTTTTTATGGTTTTAGGTCTAACATGTAAGTCTTTAATCCATCTTGAATTAATTTTTGTATAGGGTGTAAGGAAGGGATCCAGTTTCAGCTTACTGCATATGGCTAGCCAGTTTTCTCAGCACCATTTATTAAATAGGGAATCCTTTCCCCATTTCTTGTTTTTGTCAGCTTTGTCAAAAATCAGATGGTTTTAGATGTGTGGTATTATTTCTGAGGGCTCTGTTCTGTTCCATTGATCTATATCTCTGTTTTGGTACCAGTAGCATGCTGTTTTGGTTACTGTAGCCTTGTAGTATAGTTTGAAGTCAGGTAGTGTGATGCCTCCAGCTTTGTTCCTTTGGCTTAGGATCAACTTGGCGATGCGGGCTCTTTTTTGGTTCCATATGAACTTTAAAGTAGTTTTTTCCAATTCTGTGAAGAAAGTCATTGGTAGCTTGATGGGGATGGCATTGAATCTATAAATTCCCTTGGGCAGTATGGCCATTTTCACGATATTGATTCTTTCTAACCATAGCATGGAATGTTGTTCCATTTGTTTGTGTCCTCTTTTATTTCACTGAGCAGTGGTTTGTAGTTCTCCTTGAAGAGGCCCTTCACGTCCCCTGTAAGTTGGATTCCTAGGTATTTGATTCTCTTTGAAGCAATTGTGAATGGGAGCTCACTCATGATTTGGCTCTCTGTTTGTCTGTTATTGATGTATAAGAATGCTTGTGATTTTTGCACACTGATTTTGTATCCTGAGACTTTGCTGAAGTTGTTTATCAGCTTAAGGAGACTTTGGGCTGAGATGATGGGGTTTTCTAGATATACAATCATGTCATCTGCAAACAGGGACAATTTGACTTCCTCTTTTCCTAATTGAATGCCCTTTATTTCTTTCTCCTGCCTGATTGCCCTGGCCAGAACTTCCAACCCTACATTGAATAGGAGTGGTGAGGGAGGGCATCCCTGTCTTGTGCCCGTTTTCAAAGGGAATGCTTCCAGTTTTTGCTCATTCAGTATGATATTGGCTGTGGGTTTGTCATAAATAGCTCTTATTATTTTGAGATACATCCCATCAATACCTAATTTATTGAGAGTTTTTAGCATGAAGGGCTGTTGAATTTTGTCAAAGGCCTTTTCTGCATCTATTGAGATAATCATGTGGCTTTTGTCTTTGGTTCTGTTTATATGCTGGATTACATTTATTGATTTGCGTATGTTGAACCAGCCTTGCATCCCAGGGATGAAGCCCACTTGATCAATGTGGGTAAGCTTTTGGACGTGCTGCTTGATTCATTTTGACAGTATTTTATTGAGGATTTTTGCATTGATGTTCATCAGAGATATTGGTCTCAAATTCTGTTTTTTTGTTGTGTCTCTGCCAGGCTTTGGTATCAGGATGATGCCGACCACATAAAATGAGGTAGGGAGGATTCCCTCTTTTTCTATTGATCGGAATAGTTTCAGAAGGAATAGTTCCAGCTTCTCCATGTACCTCTGGTAGAATTTTGCTGTGAATCCATCTGGTCCTGGACTTTTTTTGGTTAGCAGGCTATTAATTATTGCCTCAATTTCAGAGCCTGCTATTGGTCTATTCAGAGATTCAACTTCTTCCTGGTTTAGTCTTGGGAGGATGTATGTGTCCAGGAATTTATCCATTTCTTCTAGATTTTCTAGTTTATTTTTGTAGAGGTGTTTATAGTATTCTCTGATGGTAGTTTGTATTTCTGTGGTATTGGTGGTGATATCCCGTTTATCATTTTTTATTGCGTCTATTTGATTCTTCTCTCTTTTCTTCTGTATTAGTCTTGCTAGTGGTCTATCAATTTTGTTGATCTTTTCAAAAAACCAACTCCTGGATTCATTGATTTTTTGAAGGGTTTTTTGTGTCTCTATCTCCTTCAGTTCTGCTCTGATCTTAGTTATTTGTTGCCTTCTGCTAGCTTTTGAATGCGTTTGCACTTGCTTTTCTAGTTCTTTTAATTGTGACGTTAGGGTGTCAATTTTAGATCTTTCCTTCTTTCTCTTGTGGGCATTTAGTGCTATAAATTTCCCTCTACACACTGCTTTAAATGTGTCCCAGAGGTTCTGGTATGTTTTGTCTTTGTTCTCATTGGTTTCAAAGAACATCTTTATTTCTGATTTCTGCCTTCATTTCATTATTTATTTACCCAGTAGTCATTCAGGAGCAGGTTGTTCAGTTTCCATGTAGTTGAGCGGTTTTGAGTGAGTTTCTTAATCCTGAGTTCTAGTTTGATTGCACTGTGGTCTGAGAGACAGTTTGTTATAATTTCTGTTCTTTTACATTTGCTGAGGGGTACTTAACTTCCAACTATGTGATCAATTTTGGAATAAGTGTGATGTGCTGCTGAGAAGAATGTATATTCTGTTGATTTGGGGTGGAGCGTTCTGTAGATGTCTATTAGGTCCACTTGGTGCAGAGCTGAGTTCAATTCCTGGATATCCGTTTTAACTTTCTGTCTCGTTGATCTGACTAATGTTGACAGTGGGGTGTTAAAATCTCCCATTATTATTGTATGGGAGTCTAAGTCTCTTTGTAGGTCTCTAAGGACTTGCTTTATAAATCTGGGTGCCCCTGTATTGGGTGCATATATATTTAGGATCATTAGCTCTTCTTGTTGAATTGATCCCTTTACCATTATGTAATGGCCTTCTTTGTCTTTTTTGATCCTTGTTGGTTTAAAGTCTGTTTTATCTGAGACTAGGATTGCAACCCCTGCCATTTTTTGTTTTCCATTTGCTTGGTAGATCTTCCTGCATCCCTTTATTTTGAGCCTATGTGTGTCTCTGCACATGAGATGGATCTCCTGAATACAGCACACTGATGGGTCTTGACTCTTTATCCAATTTACCAGTCTGTGTCTTTTAATTGGAGCATTTAGCCCATTTGCATTTAAGGTTAATATTGTTATTTGTGAATTTGATCCTGTCATTATGACGTTAGCTGGTTATTTTGCTCATTAGTTGATGTAGTTTCTTCCTAGCATTGATGGTCTTTACAATTTGGCATGTTTTTGCAGTGGCTGGTAGCGGTTGTTCCTTTCCATGTTTAATGCTTCCTTCAGGAGCTCTTTTAGGGCAGGCCTGGTGGTGACAAAATCTCTCAGCATTTGCTTGTCTGTAAAGGATTTTATTTCTCCTTCACTTATGAAGCTTAGTTTGGCTGGATGTGTATTTCTGGGTTAAAAATTCTTTTCTTTAAGGATTTTGAATATTGGCCCCCACTCTCTTCTGGACTGTAGAGTTTCTGCCGAGAGATCCGCTGTTAGTCTGATGGGCTTCCCTTTGTTTGTAACCCGACTTTTTCTCTGGCTGCCCTTAACATTTTTTCCTTCATTTCAACTTTAGTGAATCTGACAATTATATGTCTTGGAGTTGCTCTTCTCATGGAATATCTTTGTGGCATTCTCTTTATTTCCTGAATTTGAACATTGGCCTGCCTTGCTAGGTTTGGGAAGTTCTCCTGGATAATATCCTACAGAGTGTTTTCCAACTTGGTTCCATTCTCGCCTTCACTTTCAGGTACACCAATCAGACGTAGATTTGGTCTTTTCACATAGTCCCATATTTCTTGGAGGCTTTGTTCATTTCTTTTTACTCTTTTTTCTCTAATCTTCTCTTCTCGCTTCATTTCATTAACCTGATCTTCAATCACTGATACCCTTTCTTCCAGTTGATCGAATAGGCTCCTGAAGCTTGTACATGCACCATGTAGTTCTTGTGTCATGGTTTTCAGCTCCATCAGGTCATTTAAGGACTTCTCTACACTGGTTATTCTAGTTAACCATTCATCTATTCTTTTTTCAAGGATTTTAGCTTCTTTGCAATGGGTTTGGACTTCCTCCTTTAGCTTGGAGAAGTTTGATCATCTGAAGCCTTCTTCTCTCAACTTGTCAAAGTCATTTTCCATCCAGCTTTGTTCTATTGCTGGCGAGGAGCTGTGTTCCTCTGGAGGGGGAGAGGTGCTCTGATTTTTAGAATTTTCAGCTTTTATGCTCTGTTTTTACCCCATCTTTGTGGTTTTATCTACCTTTGGTCCTTGGCGATGGTGATGTACAGATGGGGTTTTGGTGTGGATGCCCTTTCTGTTTGTTAGTTTTCCTTCTAAGAGTCAGGACCCTCAGCTGCAGGTCTGTTGGAGTTTGCTGGAGGTCCACTCCAGACCCTGTTTGCCTGGGTATCAGCAGCGGAGGCTGCAGAACAGCGAATATTGCTGAAGAGCAAATGTTGCTGCCTGATCATTCTTCTGGAAGCTTCGTCTCAGAGGGGTACTCGGCCATGTGAAGTGTCAGTCTGCCCCTACTTGGGGGTGCCTCACAGTTGTTTTTACAAAACAAAAAAAGAAAACTTTTGAAAAGTGTTAAAGATTAAACCCTCTATCATGCAATTAGAGAACTTTTCTAATCTGTTATTATTTTGGTAAATTCAAGATTTGGGGGGCTTGGTAATTTAACCAGCTGAAAATACATATAGCCCACCTGGACACCGTAAAACTTATGACCAAATTCCCATCTTAAATTCAGATGCATTATTTATCCATTTTTCTTTCCATCTATTCATCCATTCATATAATTATTCATCAAACATGTATTAAAAGCCTTGGAGGAACACAGAGTTATGAACATGGTAGACGGGGCTCTTGTTCTTTTACACCTAAGTCGTACTGGGAAAGCACAAAATAACAACAAGTAAATAAGTAAAGTAGGTTGATTTCATGATTTCAAGTTGAGGTAGGCCTGATTATATATGGATATTTGTCTAGATATATGACTGGGGTCCATGCTAGAAAGACAGTCAGGGAAGTCTATTTGTGGAGAGAATACCCAGGCTCAGATCCAAATGTTGAAAATGAGCTCTCTTTTTAAAAGATTTTGTGGAAATATTATAGGCAAAGGAAACAACATGTATAGAGGTGTTGAGGGAAAAATAATAGAAATAGCTAGAAGGCTCATTCACTCGACAAATAACCAGTATATGCTTAGTATATGCCAGGCACCTGATAGAATAATGTTGGGGTACTCTGCAATTGCCAATAACATTATAATTGTGTCTTTTTCTAACAAAAGTAGATCAAAAATGTAGGCTCTAAAATCATTCTGCTTGAATTAAAATTCTGATTCTGCAAATTTTTATATGAATGACTTTGCAGAAATCATTAAACCTATCTATGTCTCCATTTTCCATCTATAAAATGGCTTTTTTAATATTACATAGGATATTTGCAGGGTTAGATGGATTAATTTTTACATAGACACTAGAATAGTACCTGGCATATAGTATACTCAAAATGAGACTCTTGAAATGAGATACATGAGAGCTATTGCCATTAGTATTTTAGTGAACCTTACGGATCTAGTTTATTTTTTAAGTGCTCATGAATTTTCCATATAATCAATTGATTTAATTTTCTTCCAGGAATTTTGTTTGGAAATTTGTCTTTTTTTTTTCCCTTTGGAAACAATCAGAACATTGGAATACATTCAGTTCATTCACCATTCTCTATATTTCCCCAAACAGCACCAGTGACCTGCCCTACAACCACATTTGGAAAATGATTCACTTGTAGTTGAAAAATCGAACCACTTCATCTTTCCAGATTTCCAGTTAATTGTTGTATTAACTGTTTTCTCTCTAATTCTATAAGAGAATTGACAGGGAGTTGAATATTACTTCAATTTAGTTTTGATTCCTCAGTGAATCATACCATCTCCACATTACCATTTTTGAGTAGTAAAGAGCTAATGAGATAATAACATACAATTTTCCGACACTTAGAAAACATGTTAGCTATTGTTATTTTGCATCAATAGTGGTTCCTTTTCCCTCTTATTCTTATTTTGACCTCGAGCATTTCTATTTAATTTGCAAAAATTTTTTGTTTAGATTTTGTAACAACATTTTGAGTATTTTCCTCAGTGATTTGTTTAAGCCTGTTTTTGTTATTTTGCTTTTGCTATTGTTGTCTTTGTGCTCATATCTTTAACCATACTCTGGAGAGAAGTAGAGGATATATCTATTTTTGAGTGAGTGAATAAATGAATATATGAATGACTGGAAATTCGGTATCTTATTGTTAAAACTGAATTTATTAGTGAGACCTTTATATAACATTAACTGCTGCTTTTTCCTTTGTAATTATTTCTCCTGCATCTAGAATAGAGTTAGTGAATAGTGCTTGTTCAATAATATTTATTGCATAAATTAATTAATATGTTATGGCATTTTCAGAATTTAGTTTTGAATGACTTGGTTCCATTTGTGAACTTATAAGATAAAATAAATGAAATATTTCAACTTCAAAATTTCTATTTATTTACAAAGTGTGAATTTAATGAAGTAACAGAAAATAATGGATCTATTAAAGATATATCTTCTGATATATATATATTTTGAGATATATATATATCTAAATTAAGGAGATAATATTTTACTATCTCAATAACTCTTTACTACTCAAAAACAGTAATGTGGGCATGGTATGATTCCTACATGATGAAGTAGGAATATTCAACTCCCTGTCAGTTCTTTCATAGAATTAGAGAGAAAACAGTTAATATAAAAAGAGAGAGATAAGAGGGGATTTATTATGGGAATTAGGAATTGTTCCACATGATTATGGCGTTAAGAAGTCTCACGATAATGCTGTCTGCAAGCTGGAGGCCCAGGAAAACTGGTGGTGTAATTCAATATGAGTCCACAGGCTTGAGAACCAGGAGAGCTGATGGTGTAACTCCTAGTCTGAGGCCCAAGACCGGAGGACTGGATGGGCTTCTGGTGCAAGTTCCAGAGTTCAAAGACCCAAGAACCTGGAGCTCTGATGTTGGAAGAAAGGAGAGGATGATTGTCTCAGTTCCAGAAGAGAGGTTAAATTTGCCCTCACCCAACCTATTGGTTTATATAGGCCTTCAACGAATTGGATTAACTCAGCTTACCTTGGTAATGGTGGATTTTCTTTATTTGATCTAATTATCCTAATGCCAATCTCCTCTGAAAACACCCTAAAATAAACAGTCTCAAATAATGTTTTACCAGCTATCTAGGCACCTCTTCACCTAGTCGAATTGACATATAAAATTGACTATAACATTATGGCTTATGTTCGTCTTACATACAGATGCTTTTTAAAGAAAGCAGAGCAATGTTATATCTTCAATGATTTTACAAAGCAGTCCAGTAGGAGAATTAGCCTTTTCATGCTTAATAAACTACCCAGTTAAGAAGAGTAAATGTATTAAGTTTTAGTCAACAAAGATTTGTTTAATGGGACTCTTAAAGCCAAATAATCCACCTTTAAATTCTGGCTTTGACCTTCACTGTCTGCATAACCTTGAGTAAGAGTGTTCTATGACCGCTACTATTTCTGTTATTATGGTCTACCAAGCACTGTCCTAGGTGCTGAATCCAGGAGCTACTTGGCAGTTATGCAGGCAAAATTTTCTGCAAGAGGCAGAAAGAAAGTTGTGCTTTGATGATCAAATGTCCTCTTGAAGCTGAGAAAGAAGAAGCACAATTCTTTTGTGGCTCTGCTTTCTTTCTCGTAGGTGGGAAAAATCAAACAAGACAATCTTCCTGAGCCTTATGAGCTATTTTCAATTCCTGCAGTCATATGTTGGCTTTTGTAGATGATGAAAAGAATTGAATGTTACTATTTATCTGAAATTCAGATCCTTTTTCATTGGAATGTTAAAATATTTTGAAACCATCTCAAATTTACAGGAAAGGACAAATTACTTTTTATTCCTGTAACATTTCAGAGGGCTAACCTGATGCCCCTTCACCACCTAATATTTTAGTGTGTACTTACTGCATTTTTTTTGTGTAATGAATTGCTTTAGAATGTTTCTTATGTTACCTGTGGTTTTGAAATTTATCTTTTATTCTTTTGAAACAACAGAACATTGGTTTACCTGCAGAATATACACCATTATTTTACATCATCACAGCAAACTGTCAAAATCAGGAAATTAACACAGACATATTACCATCATAAATACACTAATCCTATTCTAGTTACACCAGTTATCCCAGTATGTTTTTATAGCCAGAAGACCCAGTTCAGAGTATTTCACTGCATTTACTTGTCATGAACCTTTACTCTCTTACATTTTGGAACAATTTCTCCTCAGATTTTTCTTGACTTTCATGGCCTTGACACTTTTGAAGATGAGACTAGTTATTTTTTCAAATGCCCTTCAGTTTGTATCTGTTTTTTGCTTACTCATGACTGTATTAAATTGTGAATTTTTATCAGGAATGCTGCAGAAGTGATGGTGTGTCCTTCTCCCTGCACCCTATCAGGTGACACATAAATTTGATCTGAACTACTAATGATGTTCACTTTGACTTCTGATTAAGTTGGTGTCTTCGAGCCACTATTTTCTCTTTTGTAATTAATATATATTTTGTGGGGCCTTTTAATCTATCCCATTCTTCTCCAAATTATAGACTTATGGCTTTCCATTTTTGCCAATGCTTTCTAAGTCATTACTTTGGTTATTTTGATAGTCAGGTTGCTTCAGATTTGGCCAAAAAGAGCCCCTTCAAGCTTTCCCTATGACCCTTTGACATGGCCTACTCATTCCTTTAATACTGGCTTGCTTTCTAGCACAAAACATGTCCCAGGCTCCTCTTTTACTTTCACTGCCTCAGTTTTGGAAGCAGTCATTTTTATAACAAGTCTGAGTGCCTTTTGGTGGAGATTAGTATTAAAAAAACCAGGAGCTGAGCTGTAGGTATGCTTGTTGTTAGGGGTGTTTTTGGTTCCAGGCCATGTCAGTGAATGCAATAAGTATATGCACACTTACATGCATATGGACTTACCTCCACATTTATTTCTATATCTATTGTTATATATTGAAAACCATAAATTCACATATATTTCCAATTTCACTCTGTCACCTCAGGGATCATACTAGACATCATTTTTGCCTATTTATACCACTGTTCTATGACATAAGACTGTCTCCTGTTATTCTTTTATGTGTACTTATTTGGCCAATTCCCTGTACATAACCAATCTCCTACTGCTATTGCCATCCCTTCTCCGTGTTGATGCCCTCTTCACTCTGGTCATCTCTGACTTCCCACTCCTGGATGCCTGCTCACACTATATAGCCACCTCCTCACCCTGCTGGGCTCACATCGTGCTGGACCACACTCTTATGGGGATGTTTGCCTCATCCTTTTCAGGCTGTGCCAGAAGCATCTGGCTACACTGATCCTCCCTCTCCCCACCATGGATGCCCTTCTCATCCTGGTGGGCTCTGGCACTTCATACTACCCTTCTTCAGGTTTGTCCCCCATACCCCATTCGGGATCTAATATTCTGCTTGGAGCTTCCCATTTGTGGAAACACGTTAGGCTACTCCTCTCTGGGCCACCACATGTCCCCTCTGCCAATGCATAAAAACTTACTTGCTTTAGTCTACTTAATAGGTTTGGGACTGAATTATTAAGAACTCTGCTGAATAACTCTGTGTATATGCTAAAACCCACTGAATGGTACACTTTGAAAGAGTGAATTTTATGTGAATTATATCTCAGTAAAACTGCTATTTAAGTTCTCCATAATGAGAGAGTTGTGGTATAACATGGCAGGGGGTGGACACGAAAACAAGTTATCAGAAGACAAAGGGTAACAAATTCTGCAGAGGATGTGGAGAAAGGGGAACTCATACACTGTGGGTGCGAATATAAATTAGCACAGCCATTACAGACAATAATATGGAGGTTTCTCAAAAATTAAAAATAAAACTACTATGTGATTCAACAATCCCACTACTGGGTGTATATCCAGAGGAATTTAAACCAGTATGTCAAAAATATATCTGCACTCCCACATTTACCACAATGCTATTCACAATAGCCAAGATAATGAATCAACCTAATGTTCACAGATTGATCCATGGATTTTTGAAAATATGGTATGCCTACATAATGAAATACTATTCAGCCAAAAAAAACAAAATCCTGTCCTTTGTGACAACATGAATGAACCTAGAGAACATTATGTTAAGTGAAATAAGCTAAGCACAATAGGACCTATGACAGATGATCTCACTCATACATGGAATGTTTAAAAAGACTACACATTGTGTCCAGTGTCCACTGCATGGGTGATGGGTACACCAAAAATGTTACAGTTAGGAATAATAAATTCTGGCATTCTGTTGCACAGTAGGGTGACTATAGTCAACAACAATGTATTGTATACTTCCAAATAGCTAGAAGGGAGACTTTTGAATGTTCTCACAACAAAAAAAATGGCAAGCATTTGAGGTGATGGATACACTAATTACCCTGATTGGATCATTACATCATGTATACATGCATGAAAATATCACACTGTACCCATAAATATGTACAATTATTGTGTGTCAATCAAAATCCAAATAAAACTAAAACAACAACAACAAAACAATGGGAGGAAGACACACTCCTGCCTGACCTGATGAAACTGAGCAGCCCCAGCCATCTGGACCACTCACCTCTGGCCTCTGGTTTCAGAAATATATTAATTGTACCTTTAAAAAAGTTACGTAAGCAGCTTTGCTGTTCTTGTGGGTCTCAAACCACATGCAAATGTTAAAATGTTTTAAATGAAAACTTATACAGTAAAAATGATTACATAAAATTTGTATCACAAATTCAAAGTTACCTTATCAAATGAAGCAGTGGGTGGGGGGGAGTTTGGGTTTTTCGAGAAATGTGTCAAATTATCTGTTAAATAAGGGAACTCAAAAGATAAGGTTTCACTTTTGACCCTGACAATTAGAAGCATTGGATCAAATATCATGTTAGTAGAAAAACAAAAGTAGCCATAATTAGAATGGAAAAGGGTAGTAAGACTGCTGAAATTCTGGAAAAAACAGAACCAATGGTAATGTAGTTCGATGGCCAAAAAGACCAATAAAAGCAAGAAACATTAGCATTTCTTGTAATAGTGAATATTTGAAGCAGTCTACATGTTTAATTTTAGAGAAATTGATTAGATCAGTTGTGGTTCATCAAATACTGAAAGACTAAGCAGCCATTAGGGACTAAAAAATGTTTCATTGACATGGGAGAGAACTTGTAACATTAAGATATTTTGAGAAGAAATAGTTTATATATTATAAACTAGATGAAATAGTATGTGTACTATAATCCCAATTTAATTTTTCAAATAATGTTGATGTTTGAAATAAAATACAATGTTGATAGCATTTTTCTGGAGTGGTGAGATTATGTGTAATTTTTAAAATTTATGGTTGTAAATGCTTTCCAAGTAATATCCACATAAAATGGCTTTTATGCTCAGATAAATAAAAGTAAATTTTATTTGGAAAAAGTGGTTTTCCTATGGGCAGATGTAGATAATACTAAAATAAAATACAAACTGAAGTGCTTCATTTATCAACAAGAATTTAAAGTGATCTTGCTATTTCCTTTTATGTATAACAGACTTGTCAACTTGATTGTGTATGATTATGCATCCATTAACCAATATTTGGTATTCTTAGCCCTTTTTTTCTGAACACTAGTGGTATAGTCTGCCTATATACACAAATACTTACCATTGTGTTATAATTGCCTACAGTTTTCAGTACAGTAATATACTGTAAAGATTTGTAGCCTAGGAACAAAGAGCTATATCTACAGCCTAGGTGTGTGGTAGGCTACAGCATCAAGGTTTATGTAAGTAACTCTATGATGTTCATACAGCAATTAAATCACCTAATGACACATTTCTCAGAACATATCCCCATTGTTAAGTGATGCAGGACTGTATATGTTTTTATTCTGCTATGATTTTAAACACAGTCCTTTGTTCCCTAATTGATTGTTGAAGAAAATCAGTAGTAATAAGACTGCAATTCTGACTCTTGAAATGTGTAAATTTGAGATGTGGAGATTAGTTAGGGCATAATGTTTGACTTAGATTTATCTAGGTAAGTTTGATACTATTGATTTGAATTTGTGTCCTTTAATGTTATTTATGGGAAGAAAGCAAATGCTGGAAAGGTTGAAATTCAATGATTGTTTATTTTAATATCAATGGCCTAGAAAGGATTTCTCTTTATCTTAAAATAAAAATTTCTCTAAAATACTTAAAGCAAAATATCTGCTCAAATTAATTAGTTCCTGTTACATTGTTCTTCTAGATAAGAGAATAAATGTTAATATTTGAGCTTTTCACTTCTCATCGGAAGTTTTTATTTTTTTTAAAAAATTGGACTTTCCTTTGATTGCGGCCTTGCCTTCAGCTGTGACAACCCATGAATACATCTAAATGCCATACAAAACCTCAACTCTCTTTACAAGAAGGGGATGAATCTCAGTGTAGACTGTTTGAATATACAAAAAAATTAAAATAATCTCTCCCAGTCTGAGCCTTGAGCCTTGTCTTTTCACTGTCTCAGCAATGTCTTTAACAGAATAGTTTTTAATTTAATGAAGTCCAATTTGTCAGTTTTTTTTAGGGATTATGCTTTGGGTGATATACCTAAAAACTTATCACCAATCCCAAGGCAGATTTTTCCCTTGATAATTGGTTTTAGGAATGCAAATAATTTTTTAGTACGGAAAGCTCCTATGATTTGCACAATAAATGATTTTTAAAATTGTCACCTACAAATTTCTTTTTTATTTGCAAGAAAGTTGATGACAGTTTTGTACAAGAGACTGTCATAAACTGCTTATACATGTACAGAAATTAAGTCAATGTCATTTAAAGTCATTTGCAAAATACTTCTAACTGCAATGCCAGCCAATTAAGGATTAACTTTCTTTCATTATTATTAGAACTGCACAGATAATAGGTCAATTTCCCCCTCATTGTGTGTAGATAATTCCCATTATCATTATTTGGAGTTATATATATATAAGAAGAAAGGAAAACATTTCAACTTTATGGGGAAAAACCATTACTAGCTATCTACAAGGCCAAATTCTCTCAACCAGTAGATGTCATTCTCTCTCTATTTTAATGTGAATTTCTAATCTCTGCCTTTAGTTATCTGTTCTTAAGACAAGTTATGAAAACCAGGTTCATTTCAGCCTGCATTTCTCCTGAAATGATACCAAGTTGGTATCTTTTCCATTCCATAATAGGAAGAGTCCCAGAGTGTGAAATTGGGGCACTTTGACAGCTGTGACAGTCGATAAGCTCCTGTCTTTCATTCACTTAGCCCTTGGTGTGGGTTATTTGTCTACTTGTTTGTTCAATTTACAGTAAAACATTGATTAACTTGAAATGGAGAGGCTTTCTGCTCTCACCTGTCTTTCAGATTGGGACAGGAAAAATCTATTTATAGTTTTGGTAAGGTACCAAGAAACTCAAGCCCTCGGGAAGCACTGATCAAGTTTCCCCGTAAATATATTTAGCCCTCTACATGTAGATGGTATAGCTATCACTTCCCACTTGAAATGACCATGGCTCACCAAGAGCCAGTTCTCTGGCTCCCCTTTGTGCTCTCTTTACATTCTGTGCCTACCACAGTGCTATGATTAAACTTCTGCCGTACTTATGACTATAGTACTGATTCATTAAAGAATAAAAGTTTGGGAAATAGGAACACCACCCACATTAACTGGCATTAATTCAACCAATAACTATTGATGGAGATCTGATTGTTTTAGGATTTAGGGAGTGTGAACACCATGGTGAATGATACAGCAATTGCATATAGGTCACTAAAGGGGGGCAGGATGTACTGGGAATTCAGAGAAGAACACAGCCAATGACCATCCAGGATGAAAATACTACAAAAAGCTAAATACAGTATCATGAAAGCACACGGGAAGGATATTTTCTAGTCTTGGGAGATCAATAAAAGGTGTCTAGAGAATATAATTCCTGAGCAGGATTCTAAAATCTTAGTAAGAAATATCTGTAAGGAAGAGGCTAGGTATGGCTAGGAAAAGATAAAATAGAATTTCAGGAAAAAGGTACATGCTTTCTTCATCATTTTATTCCCAGAATGTAGAACAATAAATTATAGATACATTTTTATTGAATGAATAGATGGGAAAATTATTTTAAAAATTCGAGGCCAAATTGGAGAGACTAAACTCTCCTAAATATAGAACAATTAGTGTGCCTACTATTTTTAATAGCCACTTACTCATATTGCCAACAGAGGAGAAGTATTATAAAATAAAATACTATTTTCTTCATGATATGGTTCAGCTCTGTTTCCCAACCCAAATCTCATCTTGAATTGCACTCCCATAATTCCCACATGTTGTGCGAGGGACCTGGTGGGAGATAATTTGAATAATGGGGGCAATTTCCTTCATACTGTTCTCGTGGTAGTGAATAATTCTCACAAGATTTGATGGTTTTATCAGGGGTTTCCACTTTTGCATACTTCTCATTTTCTGTTGCTGCCGCCATGTAAGAAGTGCCTTTCGCCTCCCACCATGATTCTGAGGCCTCCCCAGCCATGTGGAACTGTAAGTCCAACTAAACCTCTTTTTCTTCTCAGTGTTGAGTATGTCTTTATCAGCAGCATGAAAATGGACTAATACAGTAAAGTGGTTCCAGCAGAGTTGGGTGCTGCTGAAAAGATACCCAAAACTATGGACTCGACTTTGGAACTGGGTAACAGGCAGAGGTTGGAACAGTTTGGAGGGCTCAGAAGAAGATAAGGTGGAAAGTTTGAAACTTCCTAGAGATTTGTTGAAAGGCTTTGCCCAAAAGGCTGATAGTCATATGGACAATAAGTTCCAGGCTGAGGTTGTCTCAGATGGAGATGAGGAATTTGTTGGGAACTGGAGCAAAGGTGACTCTTGTTACGTTTTAGCAAAGAGACTGGCAGCATTTTGCCCCTGCCGCAGAGATCTGTGGAACTCTGAACTTGAGAGAGATGATTTAGGGTATCTGGTAGAAGAAATTTCTAAGCAGCAAGGCATTCAAGATGTGACTTGGGTGCTGTGAAAGGCATTCAGTTTTATAAGGGAAGCAGAGCACCAAAGTTTGGAGAATTCGCAGCTTGACAATATGACAGAAAAGAAAAACCCTTTTTCTGAGGAGAAATTCAAGCTGCTGCAGAAATATGCATAAGTAATGAGGAGCCAAATGTTAATTCCCAAGACAATGGGGAAAATGTCACCAGGGCATGTCAGAGGTCTTCACAGCACCCCTCTCATCATAGGCCTGGAGATCTAGGAAAAAACGGTGGGCCGGCCCAAAGTCCCCATGCTGTGTGCAGTCTAGGGGCATGAGGCTCTGTGTCCCAGCCACTCTAGCCATGACTAAAAGGGGCGAAAGTACAGCTTGGGCTGTTCCTTCAGAGGGTGGAAGCCCCAAGCCTTGGCAGCTTCCACTTGGTGTTGAGCCTGTGGGTACACAGAAGTCAGGAATTGAGGTTTGGGAATCTCCACCTAGATTTCAGAAGATGTATGGAAACTCCTGGATACCCAGGCAAAAAGTTTGCTGCAGGGGCGGGGCCCTCATGGAGAACCTCTATTTAGGGCAGTGTGGAAGGGAAATGTGGGGCCAGAGTCCCCACACACAGTCCCTACTGGGGCACCGCCATAGTGGAGCTGTGAGAAGGGGGCCACGGTCCTCCAGACCCTAGAATGGTAGATCCACTGACAGCTTGCACTGTGCACCTGGAAAAGCTGCAGACACTCAACGCCACCCTGTGAAAGCAGCCAAGACGGGGGCTGTACCCTGCAAAGCCACAGGGATGGAGCTGCCCAAGACCATGGGAACCCACCCCTTGCGTCAGCATGACCTGGATGTGAGGCCTGGAGTCAAAGGAGTTCATTTCGGAGCTTTAAGATTTTACTGCTCCTCTGGATTTTGGACTTGCTTGGGCCCTGTAACCCCTGTGTTGGCCAATTTCTCCTCTTTGGAATGGGTGTATTTACCCAATATCTGTACCTCCATTGTATCTAGGAAGTAACTAGCTTGCTTTTGATTTTACAGGCTCATAGGTGGAAGGGACTTGTCTTGTGTCAGGTGAGACTTTGGACTGTGGACTTTTGGATTAATGCTGAAATGAGTTAAGACTTTCGGGTGCATGATTGGTTTTGAAATGTTAGGACATGGAATTTGGAGGGGCCAGGGGTGGAATGATATGGTTTGGCTCTGTGTTCCCACCCAAATCTCATCTTGAATTGTACTCCCATAATTCCAATGTGTTGTGGGAGGGACCTAGTGGGAGACAATTTGAATCATGGGGGCAGTTTCCCCCATACTGTTCCATGATAGTGAATAAGTCTCATGAGATCTGATGGTTTTATCAGGGGTTTCTGCTTTTGCATCCTTCTCATTTTCTCTTGCTATTAACATGTAAGAAGTGCCTTTTGCCTCCCACCATGATTCTGAGGCCTCCCCAGCCATGTGGAACTGTAAGTCCAATTAAACCTCTTTTTCTTCCCAGTCTTGGGTATATCTTTATCAGCAGCATAAAAATGGACTAATATACTTCAATTAGTAGATTCTTCAGAAGACCTCATTGCTTTAGAGAATACATTTTCAAAATGTTGTTCTCAATGACCGGCCATAATGGTATAGTATTAAATATGTATTTCCAGGGTGCTGCAGGTGCTTTTTAAAATTTGAGAAAATACAGAGTCTAAATAGATGAACTTTGAAATAGGATTATGCATTTTAAATCTAAATGGTGCCATTTGTTAAGCTTTTAAGCTCCTAATCACTATTCACCTAATTTTCTCTTCATGGCTTTTAAAAACAGGAAAAAATGATTATTTAGCCTAAGTAGGTCTTTTCACAATTCCATTGATCATAAATGTCATGACTTGTCTATCAGTGTCGATAGACATTCAGCACAGTTTACGTCATTTTTATGGTGTCTCTCCCAATTAGCTAACCAAATTGACTACTAAATATCATTAGTGTTGTTAATGTGGTTTCATAAATATATGTTAAAACCATCAGATTTCTCAAGTTTAAAGGACTTGTGCACCATTGAAAAGTTAGAAAGATAAGAACAAAGAACATAGAACTTCTCTAAGAACTAGGAAAAGGTGTTTGGATGTTAATATATTTTGAGGTGTTTTTGTAGTAGAAAGTTTTAAAGTATAAACACTAATTTTTTTTAAAGAGGGGGATCACACACCAACAAATACATTGGAATGCTTGTAATAACCAGTAACTTTAAAATCTCTGACAGCTCTTCCACAAGTGGTCCAATTAAAGAGACAATTTTAACCACTACCAACCCTCATGCATTTTACCCCTTGATTTGGGCATCCAACAATCTTCTCTAATACGAGGAGTCAGAATTCCTTGAGAGATGAGTGCTGGAAGGAAAAAAGGAGCTAACTTAAGGGGTTTGCATTTATTAAGAAATCTGAGGACAATATCAGTAAAAATAATGACAGTAACAACAACAATCAAAGCTATTATGATTTATTAAAATAATTTTAGTTTGTTAAGGGTCACATGTTCTTGAAAATGAGAAAATATAGAGTGTAAAAAAGCTTAATATTCAATAGGCATTCATTGTTGTGGATGTACCAGTGGATGTTTATGGCTAGTATCCATCCTTTATGAGGTGGCATCTGTTTTGATGAATTGGCTTTTGAACTCTTCTAGTTGTTAAATATTTTAAATAGTACTCCTTGTTTTGAATTTATTTTTCCTAAGTAGAGGTATATAGATAGATAAAATGCATATGTATATATTTGTATGTGTGTACATGCATGTTTTAAAAAATATTTATAGGCTGGGCACAGTGGCTCACGCCTATAATCCCAGCACTTTGGGAGGCTGAGGCGGGCGGATCACCTGAGGTCAAGAGTTTGAGACCAGCCTGGCCAACATGGCAAAATCTCATCTCTACTAAAAATACAAAAATTAGCAGGGCATGGTGGCATGTGCCTGTAATCCCATCTACTCTGGAGGCTGAGGCAGGAGAATCGCTTGAACCCGGGAGGTAGAGGTTGCAGTGAGCTCAGGCCCCTGCCCTCCAGCCTGGGTGGCAGAGTGAGATTCCATCTCAAAAAAAAAAAAAAAAAGTTTATAGTATTCATTAGGAATCTGCCTATAGTGTATATTTATATCCAGATAAACAGTAAAGAATAAACACAGAGAGTAGTAAGTTCACAAATAATAGTCCTTGAAATCTGAGAACTCTATTGTATCAGAAGGAAGAATAAGTTTGTATATAATTATCAATGTCCCTGGATAACAAATTAGGCATATTTCTCAAAAAAACATATTTAACTGCATAGACTCAATTCCTTATTTTCTAGGAGATAAAACCTCTGGATGGCCCTGCTAATTGTAATACTATGTTAAAAAGGAATTCATCAACTTTTAAAGAATTCTAAGAGAACAGGTCAATATGTCAAACTGACAGAACAATGAGTTATGTAACGCGAACTAAGCAGGGCTTTAAAAATCTATCACTTTGGCAGGAGATCCCAACTGGAGAAAACTTAAATCTATTCTAGAAGCACGGACCTTAAAGAAAAAGTCTTATTGATGTAACAAGTGCAATTTATCTATAAAAAGGGCAAGGTTGGCCTCAGTGCCAGTGACTTTAATTTGAATCACCTTGGAAGAAGTCAGTTAAATCCTGAGCCCTGATCAAGAATCAATTGATCAGTGACTCAGATTCTGTTACCTTAGCTAGTCTAAGAAAGAATTCTCTTTCTTAGTAGAATTACTGAACTTACCAAAAGGTTTCATAGTAATTTTTCTGATACCCTAAAAAGATCTTGAGCTAAGCCTCTCATTATTTTAAGATGGCATAAAACTAGTTTAAAATAAAGACAAACTTCTTAAAACACTGGTGTTATTTTTAGAATAAATTTGTGTAAGTATAGAACATTTTGTCATGCTTGTATTTGTGTGGTTTTGTCTACTTTTTAAGGTGTTTGAAGCATCCAAATGAATCGGGTACATCATGGTAGGCAGAATAATTCTCTCATTCCCCCTTCAAATATTCACTTCCAAGTCCTCATAACCTGTGAATATGGTATGTTACATGGCAAAAGGGACTCTGCAAATGTGATTAAGGAAAGGACTCTAGATCAAAGAATATGCTTGATTATCCAGGAGGGCTCAAACTAAACATGAGTCCTTCAGATTAGAGAACATTTTTCTGCAGCACTCAGAGGAATATATGACTTTATAAGAAGGATCAGAAAGATTCAATGTTGCTGGTTCTGAAGATGGCCATGGGCCAAGAAATATGAGTATCCTCTCATAAGCTGGAAAATTGCAAAGAAACAGATTCTCCCTGATATCCTCCAGAAAGGAACATAGCATTGCTAACACCTTGATTTTAGTTCAAGGAAACCTATGTCAGACTTACAGTCAAAACTGTAAGAGAATACATTTGTGTTGTTTCATTGGGTTGTGGAAATTTGTTATAGCCGTCATAAATACATCAAATACAGTTTAAATTGTTTAACAGACTTTATTTAACTATGATTATATCCAATGATAAAATGTTTAAATAAAATTTACTTCTAAAGTTTTATTTGTTAGGTAGGATATACAATATACATTTTTGATATTTAGAATAGTTGCAAGTATATTGTAGACATTTAATAAATACTTTTAATATTAATAAAATTTATATGCAATTTTTATTCATTGATCACAAAATTCAGTATAAATTCAGTATAAATGGGCTATTATTAAATGGCCCATCAACAAGTATAAAATAACAGCTTCTTCAGACAAGGTTGCTAAGATACAAAATATCTTATAATTTTAGAATTTTAACAAAATTGTAGAAATAAGGATGACTTGAATATTTGATTAGATTTAAAGTTATTTGTTTCATTTGATATTACTTTATTTATTTAGTTATTTAGGAGACGAGATCTTGCCCTTGTCCGGGCTTGAGTACAGTGGCTCAGTCTCGACTAACTGCAACCTCCCCGTCCTGAGTTCAAATGATCCTCCTTGCCTCAGCCTCCCGAGTAGCTGGGGGCCAGGCACCACCAGCCTTGCTAATTTTTGTATTTTTATTAGAGAACAGGGTTTTGCCATGTTGGCCAGGCTGGTCTCAAACTCCTGGCCTCGTGTTATCTGCCTGCCTCGAACTCCCAAAGTGCCGGAATTACAGGTGTGAGCCACTGTACCCAGCCTGATATTACTTTAATATTTGATAGGAAAGCCACCTGTTGGGCAGTCTTCAAATTGTTTATCCAGGAGCTGCCATCTCCTGTGAATTGTGACCTCAAGCTTACTGATCCATGTGATTTCCATAGGAACAGCCATGTCAAACCTCATCCTTAGCCCCTGTTAATTATTTATTGTTTTAAGGGGGTCAGAGGTTTCATCTCAAGATCTAGTCATACTGGTTAGCTCTCTAAGAAATAGTTCGGGGCTGGGCACGGTGGCTCATGCCTGTAATCCCAGCACTTTGGGAGGCTGAGGCGGGCAGATCACCAGGTCAAGAGATCGAGACCATCCTGGCCAACATGGTGAAACCTCGTCTCTACTGAAAATACAAAAATTAGCTGGGTGTGGTGGCGCATCCTTGTAGTCTCAGCTACTTGGGAGGCTAAGGCAGGAGAATCACTTGAACCCGGGAGGTGGAGGTTGCAGTGAGCTGAGATTGTGCCCCTGCACTCCAGCCTGGGCGACAGAGCAAGACTCTGTCTCAAAAAAAAAAAAAAAAAAAGAGAGAGAAAAAAGAAACAGTTTGGGTACTATGTTTACTGTGTTAGGCACTTTCTTTTCTTTTTCTTTTTTTTGAGACAGAGTCTCACTCTGTCACCCAGGCTGGAGTGCAGTGGTGCGGTCTCAGCTCGCTGCAACCTCTGCCACCCAGGTTCAAGTGATTCTCCTGCCTCAGCCTCCCAAGTAGCTGGGATTACAGGCACCTGCCACTGCGCCTGGCTAACTTTTGTATTTTTAGTAGAGATGGGGTTTCGCCATATTGGTCAGGCTGATTTTGAACTCCTGACCTCATGATCCACCCGCCTTGGCCTCCCAAAGGGCACTTTCTTAATTTCAGCTAATGAACGATTCTTTCCCTAGGATTTTGGTACATGGATCTAAAAGAGAAAAGGAAGTTTTACACTATGGACTGAGCTTCGATATTAAAAATCAAGCATTTATGGAAAACACTCTTTATACCTTGAGGAGAAGGTTAGCTTCTAGCAATAGAAAAAATGAGGTTGATACATAAAGAGACGCAAAGACAGAACGTGCAGGAACTTCGAATGCCAAGTTGTAGCTGTGCCTGAAACCCGGCTGCACTTTGCCTTCTCCTATTTGGTAAGATTTCAGTTGAATATGCCAGTAACTTAACATAATGAAATCCCCAGGAGTCATCTGGCTTTAGGCACAACAAAATCAGGACTCATATACAATAATGTAATCTGAACTGTTTTGTTATCTTTCAAGTTCAGGTATACCTTCCACTTAATTGGATCATCTTGGACAAACTAATGATCTCAAATTACCCACAGACCTTTCAGAAGCCCAAATGCTAAATTCAAGTGGAGATAGAAAAAGAGAGAGAAAGAAACAGTGCTTTAAGAACTAGTGTATGATTTTTGACATTGTGTTTTCCCAGCCTATGTAAGCACCTAAGGCATCTGTCAAGTGAGAGCCTTCATCAGCCTGGCCCCTGATAGCCTACAATGTGCAGACCCTCTTTGCTCACCCATCATGAGCATGCAGAATGGGTGAAAAAATAAGCATTCGTGCTTTAATTTGTAAATATTTAGGGGTTGATTATTACAGTGGTATAATGGAGCCTGTCCTGACTACTATAAAAATAGGCACTGAAATGAGATGTTATGAAACAGAAAAGCTAATATATGTGGCGTTGACTTCAGGGCCTGCTGGAAAGTGGTGAGAAAAATGTTTGAAGTGGAAAAATCGTGATTCACCTATGAAGTGGTGAAAGATTTAGCAAAATTGTCTACAGTCACTTTGCAGATATATAATGTGCCTAATGATTTTGAATTCTAGGTGAAAATATTAGAAAATAGAATGTTATTAGTGTGTTTGCTTATTTTTGTTGGCCTCCAATACGAAAACTGTGAGCAATAGTTACACTCAGGAAATTGTTGGCCACTCTGCAAGCATGAATAAAAGGGACAGGAGAGTGTTTAGAAATACAGGAAATTTCAAGGTTGGAAGAGGCCTGTTGACTCTTATTTCTAATGGGTAAAAGATAACACTGAGAGGGGCTCTGCGTTATAAATTCAATTAGAACTCACACTTGAAGCAAGGATTTAGTAGAAAGTAAAGCCAACTTTCCCTTTACCATTAAAGTGGTATCCAGTAAATCCTTTCAGTTGGATAAAAATGGCCCAGGATAAAGCGAGTAACGGGATAAGAGACTAAGCTGATCCATGGGGGCAGAGAGACTCACCATCCTCACAATTAAATAGAAAGAGACTCATGTCTCCAAAAGACTTGTAGGTGTGGCTATGGCACAAGTGAAAACCAGACTCAGATACCTATGAAACTCACTAAATTTTGAAAGCGGTGAATTGCCACAAGAAGAAATAGGCTGTGGCTGTTTGAGATTGAAAATGACTTTGTGTTTCCAAAGTTCTGTTGGGCAGAAGCAGTGTTAGTCTGCAAGGTAGGCATCCATATTCAACTTGCTCTCTTCAGATCTAATGATGTCAGATGCTAGAAAAGGAAGTTTTCCCCAAAAGTTACAGCCAAGAGCCAAGGAAGATAAAGACTGAAGAATGATCAGAATTAGAACCTAACCAAAGAAACTTCCAAAACCCCCAGAGTAAAGTGCCTCACAATGTGTATTATTTCTGAAGTATTCAAGGTCAATGTTTTCCATGTGGCTCCATTATTCACCTCTCTGTATAAAAGTATTTATCATAGAGATCCTATTTCCTTTTCACTATTACATATTGAGCGTGTGTTTCTTCGTTAGTTTGAGTCTCTGTATCAAGCAGACCAGATAAAGATGAGAACAGAAATTTCAAACTTTAGGCTTAAAGCCATATTTAGATGGGATTTTGGAGTTGACCCTTGGGTGGGAAGGTGGTGAATATATTTTTCAAATAAGAAAAAGCAAACAGAATATTATGAATATAGGAACAGACCATGAGAATCATTTGGGCTACTCACAAATGTTTAATAACATTCTGGCTCATGATAGAATTATCCTTCTCTGATAATTTGAACTCAAGCATGGCCTCATGATTTCTTTTGGCCAATAAACTTAGAGAGAAAGGGGTGTTTACAGTTTGCCAAATTCTCTCTTCCCTTGCTCAGTGGTCATGGAAGCCTGTGCCAAATTCTCTCTTCCCTTGCTCAGTGGTCATGGAAGCCTGTGTCAATATTGAGCCTCTATCAGCCTGAGACCTTGAGTGCCTGCAATGGGCAGATACCCCTTGCCAACATACACCATGGTCTACTCTATCCTGATAGAGTCCACTTTCCTAACAGTTTAGAAAGAACTCTCAGAAGTGAGTGAGTTTTGATGGTTATAATTGTTAAAACATGGACCACAATTCCATCCTTGAACAAATCACTGGTAGCAAAGAATAAAGTATGCTGAGTGGTTTCAGAATGGGCCACGTGACCTTCTTGGAGATAATGGTAGTGTTGATATCATCAGAACAAGTTTGGGATAAGGAAAAAAAAGTTGGTTTTCACAGATCTGTCATTTAATGGATGTTCTGTTTATAGAAGTGGTTGAATGGATGTGCAACAATAAAATCAATACCTATGTGATCCACCAATAATTCTACATTGTCTGTATCATATGCATCTAACTCCTTGATAGTTTTTCTCTTCTGTGCATTTTATGAGATATAATGGCATTACTTTAACATTTTTTTTCCTTGAGAAAGACTGAGCTGGCTTTTAGTTATTGTCAATGTGACAAGCTAACCTAAATCAAAACTCTAAATTTTTAAAATAAAAGTCATCAAATTAGATGAATATGCTATCATGATAAATGCTGGGGTTTACCACCATTTCCTAAGCTCTAAGACACAGAAGAATCCCAGAGCATGACTGTATCACATAAGCACAGATTACCCTCAAAGACAGAATTTCCACTGGGCTTCCTATAGAATTTCTAAACATCCCAAATATGGTATTTCAAAAAGTCAATTCTTCCCCATCTCTCGGTTCACACTAACTCTGAAAACTCTTTAGTTTGTAGATTGTAACTGTGAAGAATACTATCCTTGGAATTGCTTTTCTTATTCACTATAATGTTGACACTCATTGTATACTCAGAATTCACAGCTCTACACACACACATACACCACACACACATTAAAATAACTGCATACATGCACTTCCAGATCTACTTTAGCACAACTCTGAAATGATTTGGATCTGGGATTGACCTCTGAGCTATTACAATAAAAATTTCAATATGACTTTAAAACAAACAAAGGCCATCCATACAATTGATTTTGTTGCATTGCTTTGAGCAATGAACTGTATAATTTGTTTTTCTGCCAACAATATTTTATTTGGTTAGGCTTGCCAAGGGAAGGACCAAGTAAAATGCTTTCTTGAGTAGAGGAATCTTTAAAAGATTTTGAGGCTTCTTTAACATCTAACCTTAGATGGGGCTTTCATCTTTAACCTATATCACCTATATGGCCAAGCTCCACAATTATCTTGTCCTTATAATCTAGTGAGGTGAAGGGATTTTAACAGCTTTGTTCCAATGCCTTGGCTGATAGAAAAGGAGTCTAAGTGATCCTGAATTATAGTTGTTCCCCAAACTGGATGGACAACTGTGTCTACACATGGTTTGAAAATGAATGTAGTAGGCTTAAAGTTTGCACTAAGCCTTCTTACTATCTAGGTCTTTAATTCTCCCCTACTTAGCTCCATTCTCCACATCATAGCTAAAACTAGACTGACATTGTCACATTTCTGCTTAAAATGTTTTGATGGTTCCTTATTGGCTATGGAATAAAGTTATAGATCTTTTAGTCCTCCATGATCCAGTCTCTACTCTCCAGCTTCTTTGTACTGAAATAACAATATATTATTTTAAATTCTTTGTATACTCTGTGTAGTTCACTCCTTTAAATATTTGCTCAAGTTACTCCTTCTGCCTGGAATGCCCCCTTACTATACTTTTCATCAGTCTCATTCTAACTCTTCCTTCTTTCGGGTCAGGTGACATGACCTCCATGTAGCTTCCTGTGAGCCGTCATATTACAAAATGCCCTTTCTTTGTGTTCTTATAGCAAAAGACAAGTACTAATTCCATTTTATTGAGACTATTTGTTTGTATCTCTCCCCTAACTCCTTTGAAGAACATGACTATTGTGAATACATCCTTCATGACCAAGTAACTTCTTACCACCATCCACCCCTGCCCCACACACCACCCCCCACCCCCCACATCTACTTATTTCCGAGCATTATGCTTGGCATAGCGGGGTGTGGTGGTGGGCGCCTGTAGTCCCAGCTACTTGGGAGGCTGAGACGGAGAATGGCATGAACCCAGGGGGCGGAGCTTGCAGTGATCCGAAATCTCACCACTGAACTCCAGCCTGGGCAACAGAGCGAGACTCTGCTTCAAAAAAAAAAAAAGTATTCTATAAATATTTGTTGAGCTGAGTGAAATAGATTTATCCTAAAACATCCTGGAAGAGTACACAAAGCACTGGAATTAAAGCAGTGATGTTTTAGTTTAAAAAGAAATACCAGAGTGGTGCTAATGAAGTTAGATTCATAAATTTGATGCTTATCAAAATCCATTTTCTGACTACGTCTGACTTTCTGACTATATCTGACTGAATTTGAAAATATTGTATTACTGGTCTGGATTGTTTTTTCTACTTTTCTATAATGGACAAGTTTCTGTTCTTCTTTTACTTCTCAGTTTAAGTATTATCCCTTCTGGGAAATCTCACTTCCTCTAGATATCTTTTCATACTTGTCTCTTACTCTTAAAGCTCACTGTGAATAAATAACTCTAATATAATACTTATCACGTTATGTTATAATTACTTATTCAGTTGTCTCTCTGCATGTTCTTAAGTTCAATACTCCTTGAGGGGAGGACTTTTTTTCTTCATTTTTCCCCCTCTCACTTTTTAACCATTGTTTAATACAATGCTCAAAGTTGGGTATTGGATATACCATTTAGTTTCTTCACTCGCTGGTCTCCACCATTGTCTCAGAAACGTGTTCCATGGATGATAAGTAGGATTAAGATTTAGAGAACAACTCACAAATTATCACCAACGAGAGGAACAAAAGCTCAAAGTACATGATGGCTTCAAGGGCAGCAAACATTGGATTCCCAAACCAATTTCTATGCCAGCACATCTGCTATGGAGCCTAGAGACCTGGCTTTAAATCTTGGCTTGTCATGTATTTTGGTGTCTTTGAGTAATATATATGACACATCAGAGTTTAACTTTTCTCATCTGTAAAATGGAATTAATTAATAAAATGTTGGTTGTAAGTAACAGAAATCCAAATCCAACTACATTGACCAGAAAGGGAAACTGATTGACTATAATCCAAGGGGAATTTTGGCTTTAGGCATAGTTTAGTGCAGAGGTTCAAAAGATGCTTCTGGGTCAGTGTTACTCTTTTCGTCTGTTAGCCTTCTTATCCTCTGCTCAGCTTCACTCTCAAACTCTTCCAGTACTGGAAAAGAAGGCCTCTGTCACCCCCAGACTTATATCCCCACAGTGAATAAGCCCAGAAGAATTTTCCATTCCAGCCACCTAGGCAATTACTTGATTGGCCTTGCTGGCGTTGTTACTGTGGCCAGGAGATTGATGGTGCTCTCAATGGCCAGTCTAGGGTTTGCCCTCCCTCCCTTTGGTTGGAGAAGGTAGGTTTTCTTAACTGAAAACATCTTGGAACCAACCCGTATGTCCATCAATGATAGACTGGATTAAGCAAATGTGGCACATATACACCATGGAATACTATGCAGCCATAAAAACATGAGTTCATGTCCTTTGTAGGGACATGGGTGAAGCTGGAAACCATCATTCTGAGCAAACTATTGCAAGAACAGAAAACCAAACACCGCATGTTCTCACTCATAGGTAGGAATTGAACAATGAGAACACTTGGATACAGGGAGGGGAACATCACACATGGGGGCCTGTCATGGGGTAGGGGGAGCAGGGAGAGATAGCATTAGGACTTATACCTAATTTAAATGACGAGTTAATGGGTGCAGCACACCAGCACGGCACATGTATACATATGTAACAAACTTGAACGTTGTGCACATATACCCTAGAACTTAAAGTATAAAACAACAACAACAACAACAACATCCAGGAGACCACACAGGGTATCGTAGTAATGCCCCAACAGAAGCCAAAGAAAGGAGGGGGACATTTCAGACAGACAAAAACCTCTGTCTCCCAGGGTCTATTACATTGATTTGTTCTAGCAAATATTTATTGAGATCATCTCTTAAAGAATTGTTGCAGAGATTAAAGATAACTGAGTTAAAGTGCTTATCTCTCAATTTAGTATATGCCCAAGACTCCAAAAAAGGTAATGGTTAGTATCATTAATCAATTTAAACCAAAGGGAATACATTACATATCTAACCCATACCTGCTATTCATTTACATTAAAAAGTAGTTTCTGAAGGGATTATTGATTCAAAGATTGAGTTCTAAAATGGTGATATATAGGCACTATAACTCTTTTACATTACCTTTTACCATTCAGATTTATTTCTTTGAGAGCATTAAAACAACAATAACATCCAAATTTCAAAGCCTATTGGAAAAGCCTTGTTACAGTAAAATAATGAGGCCTCTAAGTATTTGGTATAAAATACCAAATGATTCTCATTATGAAACCCTACTGCCTTTGAAGCAACCTCTCCCTGTAGTATCCTCAAATGGATGTAATTTTCTATGACTCTATAGAAGGATCATGTGGCTGAAAGTCAAGATGTCACTCAGTTGTGTCCCGGCATTATGAGGAGACATTCCTCTGAAGGAGCTTTTGTATTTATCTCATTGCTGGCTTTAATTTGATTGTGAATCAATGCTTCAGAGATAAGCAAGAATCTAAAAGACTTGCTGGCCTCAGTGAAATGTAAATTCTTGGAGGAAGGTAGAGATCTAGGACCTGGTGCAGAAAGCTAGGGCCATCTGCCGAGAAAAGAAACAACTACCAATCAGGAGAGGATGTTTTTAAAACAGGCTCTGGCTTCCATCGGTGGTTTTGAGCTAAACACTTAACATCTCTGGTTGTTAGTGTCCATATTTCTGAAATGGAGCAACTTACTTGCTAGGGTTGAAAAATATGTGCTTTAAAACATATACTCTGATCTTTCTTTAGAGGCTTTCAGGTAACTCAGGGCACAATCTCTCAAGTAAAATTATTAAGCAAATAAAAAATACGATAATGCTTAATTCTTTTTGCTTGATAGGGTTAGATCTCATAATGCAGAAGTTCTCATACAATGGTAATATTGCTTAATTACAAGGAACTTCCTGCCAGGACATTACAACTGTATCTATTTTAGTCCACTGTTAACTCTGTGAGTTGTTTTAATAAGTCACAGAGCAGGCATTTGAACCCTGACCTTCTCTCAACTTTATTTTTCCCATGTGCTGTGCTGCCTGCTCTATCTTCAATAAGAAAACAAATCAGCTGGGCGCGGTGGCTCACGTCTGTAATCCCAGCACTTTGGGGGGCCGAGGCGGGTGGATCACAAGGTCAGGAGTTCGAGACCAGCCTGACCAACATGGAGAAACCCCGTCTCTACTAAAAATACAAAAAAATTAGCCGGGCGTGATGGCAGGTGCCTGTAGTCCCAGATACTCAGGAGGCTGAGGCAGGAGAATCACTTGAACCCGGGGTGTGGAGGTTGCAGTGAGCTGAGATCGTGCCACTGTACTCCAGCCTGGGTGAGACACTGTCTCAAAAAACAAAACAAAAAACAAATCATAAAAAAAGACACAGTAAGACACAGTAAGACAGGATGAGAATAACAGAAATTAGGCTATGTTATAAATGGAGCAAAAGTATGTAAGCCCTTGGGATCCAATGAAAATATCGAATGTTTCCCCACTGTGCATAGAATGGATCCACCTCATCTGGATATTGCAAATGGGACCCCCAAAGGTCAGAGGGCTTTGAAATATCTTGGGTATGTGTAGTTTTTTAATGACTGATATATGTATGTAAATGAAATTCCATTTCTACTCACTTTGTATGTTTCCCTTAATGATTTCTAGGCAACTGTTCTTTGCATTGCTTGAAGGGCCTGGAACTATTGCTACAATTTCTTAGAACCTGAGCTTCCTCTCTAGATTTGAGCACTATGATTTGACACCATGGGTGTGGGTCTTGCTGGACCACGCTGGCAGAATATGAGCATTCTAAGGCCGTACACCAAATAAAGGTGCCTAATTGGAAGGATGATACTTCCATCTTATTTTAGCATTATAAAAGATTACAGCTGGAGGGAGGAAAATCAACCCAAGCAATCTTGTCTTTTGCCTCCTCTCAGACATGATTCTTACACTCACTTTCTTTCTTTCTTTCTTTCTTTCTTTTTTCTACTTCTGGTTTCTGCTGTTCAGTTTGTTATTCTGATAAGCACAGACTCAAGAGGGAACAAAATTGCAGGGCTGCCATCCTTGATGCATATTAAAACCTTCTCTGTGTTAAGGAGCTAGAGGCGTGGTGTTACCAAAAAATAGAAAATCACATTGCACAACTTACTAAGTCTACCAAAATCATAATGTGTCTCCATGGTAAGTTATTGATTGCTTGCTTTGAGATGAAGCTATGCTGAATCTGTAGTTCAGTTTGTGACATTGACTAAAAACAAAACTCTGCAAAGGACTGAACACTGTTTGTTCCAATTGCCATTTTTCTCTGTATTTTTAAATGCAAAAACACGACCAGACCTAGTTTGCATTTGTGCTTTGGAACCACTGTTCATAATTTGAGTGACTCAACACAAATCATTGAAGCTGAATGTGTCATGTCATGCGGCAAAATTAAAATATACCTTACTGCTTTATGGGGACATGCAGTTCCCCCAAAATTTGGGATATAAAAGACCAATTTGTGTTTTAAACAATGAAATGCTTATTAAGTAACTGCTGCATGTGAATAAAACACATTAGTTCAAGGACCAATGAAAAGATAAGCAGATGGTGCTGTCAGGTCTTCAGCACATTTTGATGGTCTCAATGCATATGTAGTTAAAGAGGACTTTATTAATATTGCCTTACTTTTAGTATAAGTGGTCATATGATCCCATTGAAAATATCTGTAAAGCCCACTTTACAACATAAACCTCTAGGGGACCTGATATCTTTGTTATTCATTTGGAGACAAATCTTCATCTATTTCTATAGCCTTCAAATTAGAGATGTCAGGGATTCAGTTTAATAAATAAATTCAAATTTCACTTTTCTCCTTCCCTTTTTCTGAAGATATTTTCCTTAGGACCTTTAGGGTTTTTTGTATCTAGGAGCATTTGGTCATGCACTAACATGGAATCCTGTATCTAAGATGTTCTTTGTTAAGATTTCTGACTAGTTGAGGGTGGGTTTTTTGCTTGATGCTTTTATTTGTTTAGCTCTTCTATAATCTTTCTTTATAAAATCTGTTATCTGTAACACATGATTGTTTACTCCTCCCTAGGGCTCTATATGTCCTCTCTTGGTATCTTTAATAATATCCTATTACTGATAGTACTAAAAGTGATACCTGATTTGCTGCCTATTATGTGGAGGGCACTCTGGTAGGCCCTGGAATATAATAATGAATGATTGAGTAATCAAGGTGAGGTATTCGATTTCAAAGACCTTAAAATCTAGCTTGCCTCCCATTTGAAGGATAAAGAAAATAAGGCTCAAAGTTAGTTACACACCCAAATTAACACGGGGAATAATTTCTAGAACCAAGAGTCATAAGCAGATCTATCTGACTCTAAAGCCCATACTATTTGCTCTCTGTTATACCTACTAAATTTTTTCACACTTAATAATGAAGATCAAATGTGTCAGATTAAATACTGGAAAAGGAAAGCCTGAAAAGATAATCTGTTTTTTCCAGATATGATTTAGATGCCCTTCTGCAGTGTATATTCAAATGTTGTCCAATTTAAAAATAGATCAACATGCTAAGCAAATATTGAAAATGTGTAGACAAATCAAGTGATAATGGCACATCATATGAAAGGTGCCTAGTCTGGATGAGCAATCAGAAAGGGGCATAAAAGCACATGTCAGATCTGTTTAAGAAGTTCCATGGTTCAAGAATGAAGAAAATGTTATAGTGACTTGGAAACAAGATTTATGGTATTTGAATATGACAGTATTTGCCTTTGTTTTGGGTAGGTTGAGGTAACCTATAAAATCAAAAATGATACGAGAAAGAGTAATAATGATACTCGTTATTTTTTATTTAACATTTATTTTGTACCATGAACTCTGCTGTCCTTTTTACATAGTCATTAATTACTAAGAATCCATATGAACAGATGCTATTAATTCCATTGTAGAGAAGAGGAAACTGAATCAGAGAGTTTATTTCACTCTCCCAAGCTAACACAGCTAGAAATACACACAGCCTTAATTTAAATCAGGTCTGTCTGACATTTTTATGATATTCTGCCTCTTCAGTGGAATGAAATAGCATAAAATAGCACAACTGTTGACCACAGATCCAAAAATTGAATTTGTATTTCTTCTTTATAATGCTCTGCCAATATTTTGATTCTTTCCACTTTAAAATTGTGTGTGCTGTTTTCCTTATTTATTTACATTGATTTTGAATGATTGGTTTTTGGAACCTATACTATAAACATTGTGCCTTTGAAATTTTGTTGTCAGTGAAGCTGAATTTTATTTTTGTTGATCTGTGATGGAGATGACTAAGTGGCAGTCAAAACGCTTTTTTCTGTAGCAATAGAGGCATGGTTGTATGATGGCTTCCCAGACCAAGACTACTGTTATGGCCCCTTTCACATCTATACATGGCCATGCAGCTCATTTTTATTAACGAAATATGGGTGGAATATGTATGTACTTCTTCTGGGTTATGGCCTCTAAAAAGTGGGTGTGCTCTTTATCCTCTTCATCTGCCAGGGCATAGGCATTGGCAGGGACCTATGTAAGGCAGAAGAGAAGTAGGAGCTCTGTATCACTGTGAAGAAAAGAGCCACCTGCCAACACCACCTGCTTTACACTGAGAAAGAAGTGAGCAGCTATTGTGTTTGAGCTATTAGAGTTTTGTATATTTTTAGAGGACTTTAGCCTAATATAACTAACATCTCTACTATCAATAAAATAGGCCTTGTTTTCTAATAGTAACAGTGGAACATTATTCTATGTTTTATCTTCTATAGAACGTCTTAAAACAATGCCTTTGCAAACTACCTAGTAACTATCTTAATTTCTTTATGACATGAATTTAGAATTGGGTTGTAAACCGTGGCCTGAATACTTAAGTCAGACTTTTTCTGCTGCAAAGTGCAGAATAAATTTGATCATGCTTTTAACAATCATATCATGCTCTAGGGCATAATGAATAAATGTTTATTGAAGTCTTATCTGTGTCCAATCACAGAGCCTTAGATGTACTTTGCAGTGAATCCATCTTCAGGAAAAGACATTTCTTTTTACAAATGCACCTGAATATTATGCAACATGTTTCATATTTTCTTCACGACCAGATAATTTTGTTCTTTCTAAATTGTTATTGTTCTTTAAAAGTTTAATTTCTCATCTGAGTAAAAGTTATCTTACCATTGTAGATGGCTTTGAGAGAGAAGCTTACGGTTAGGCAAATCCTGAGAGGCATTCTAGATGAAGACTTACGTTAGGAGCACTGCCACCTACAGAGTCTTTAAGTAATATCCAATTCCTTCTACTTTGTGTACACGGGAAGAGTGGCCTCTCATGCAGGCATTTTGAATACATGCTGAAAGTAATTATTTTCAAGCAAGTTCTCTAGTGGTCAGGAAGAACAAAGGACAACATTCTCTCCATTCAGCTTTTATTTGAATTTAATCATTTATTCCTATTTTTTGGTCAATAAGACTCCCCAGTACTGATTTGGTGGCCAAGGCCTACATTTATTGCCTTTCCTGAGTAACCGTGCCGTGTAGTGCTTGGAGAATGATCGGTGAAGGTTTAAAATATTAACCTACCTAAGGGCTGGAGCAGAACACTTTTGCTAGAGAACAGCTTCTCACTTTGAAACCCAATTAACAAATTCTCAGAGCAGAGAAGAAGGAAAACGCAGAAAAGCAGAGCAGGCAAAAAAAGAAAAAAAAAGGCTGTTGTATAAGTAAACTTTCCTACCTTCTCTTGAGCCTCCGAAGATTTTCTCATGGATTTCTTTGTCATGGCCTTGGAAGGCAGTCTCATTATCAGATTGAACCTGGGAAGATCTAACCTATGTTCATATTAGCATGTTTGTAATGTTTTCTTTTTCTCTGAAAGGTTTTTAAAGTAATCACTTGAGTTACACTAAATTGGGTTCAAATTCCAGTCCTCAGGCTTTCTAGCACTGTGGTTCTAGCCTCAGTTAGCTGCCTGCAAATTACAGGTGATAATATTTATCACAAATACAATTGCTGTGGGAAGCAAATAAGTTACTGCCTTAAAGGGCTCTGCTCAGTTTTTCTTTTTTTTTTTTAATTATACTTTAAGTTTTAGGGTACATGTGCACAACGTGCAGGTTAGTTACATATGTATACATGCGCCATGTTGATTTGCTGCACCCATTAACTAGTCATTTAACATCAGGTATATCTCCTAATGCTATGCCTCCCCCCCGCCCCCACCCCACAACAGGCCCCGCATGTTCTCACTCATAGGTGGGAATTGAACAATGAGAACACATGGACACAGGAAGGGGAACATCAGGTTTTTTTTAAAATAGTAAATGCTAAATAAATGTCAGCCCTTCTTCCGTTGTTGTTGGTATTGGTTGTTTATAGCACAAGTATGTCGTAAATTCTGTTTTCCCTTCAGATTAATGCCTTCTTCTTCTTTAGTAGTTGTAATGCATTTAATCCTGTTTGTAGCATTAAGATAATTTTATATCTTTAACATGACTCTCCTCTCTTCCTTGATACCTTCCATTTCATAGTTGGTTAGTGATTCTATCTCCTGTATGTCCAAACACTTTAGAAGAAAGCATTATTACAACACACATTTAATTGAAAATTTTAGATGGCTCCTAAATGGTAGCAATTGAATGCTTTTTTCTTCTAATTTTTATGGCGTTTGCCACCGTAAAAGTGGTAAGAAAAGTCCAATTAAATAAAAATTCTGGTGTATATATTGTGAGCTAATTTAAAGTCTTATATTATTGAGAGATATTATAGTGTGATTATCTAGATTGCGGGCCTGGAGCCAGACTATTGGGATTTGAATCTTGTCTTTGACTCTTAATGGTTGTGTGTCTCTTTAAGATCACTTCAACTCTCTGAGCCTCAGCTCTTCATCTGTAAAATGGGCACAAAGATAGTGTCCACTTCGTAGGGCTGCTGTGAATATGAAATTAGCTAATGTATGTAAAACACTTAGAATAGTACCTGCTTAATAATAAAGCTTCTATGTTTTGGCTTTGTTGTTGTTAGTATTATTATTATAGATCTCACTGGTTTTATAGCTTGATGATGAGTTTGCCATTGTGCTTTGTATATGATTTGCTTATTATATAAACTTTAAGTATTGTGTGTTTCACAAGGCACTGAGGAACCATTTAAAGTTTTTAAAGGTATAGTGTGTAATGAGATCAGTGATCTCCATTATAAACATATATCACTTGACCTTCCTCTGGCTTACCTGCTGGAGTGGGCCAGAACAGATTCAGGTGGACCCACTGCCACACTACTGTCATAACTCCTAACTAGCTATGAGAAGAAGGCAGTATGCTAGGCTAGAACTGATGAATATAAAAAAAAATGGACAGAATTGAGAGGTATTTAAGATTCATGTCCATCACTAACTTTACATATTTTGTGATTAACTGGATATGAAGGTAAGATGTAAGTTTTAAGAGGGACACATGTTTCCCACTTGCACAACAAGATAGATCAAAGATCAAATTACTGTAATAAAGAAAGGGACAAAAAGTAGGTTGGAAGATGAAATGACCTTAAGTTTTATTTTGGACATGTGGAGCTTCAGGTGCTTTAGGATCTTTGAAAGGAAATGTCAACTCATCAGTTGGACACATGTGGTTAGTTGATGCTCCAAGGAGAGACCTAAGAGGCAAGCATAAATTTTGTGAGCCATCATCATATATGCACCTATAAAGCTAGGGGATGAGTGAGATCACTGAGGCAGAGAAACTTGAGTAATAGAAGAATAATTAGGAATCAGCTTTGAGAAATGCCACAATTTTATAGCCAGGAAGTGGAGTCTAAGAGAGAGAGAAAAGAGAGAGAGGAAGAGAGAGAGAGAGAGATAAAGAGAGGATAGAGAAGAGAGTCAGAAAAGAGGGTAGAAAAAGAGGAGAGAGACAGTGAGTGAGAGAGAGAGGGGAAGAGAAAAGGAAGGAGAGGAAGGGAGAGGGAGGGGGAAGAAAAGAGAAAGTAAGAGAGGGGAGGAGAAAAGGAGAGGGAAGTAGAAGGAGGCAAGAAACTTCCAGAGAGAAAGGAAAATCAGGAACTTGTACACGGGATCCAAGGAAAGAGAGAAAGAGAAGGATAAGCCAATTTAAGATGGGGATAAGAAGAGAAAGGAAAGTGGGCAAATGAACACAAGTATAGATGGTTTTTCCAGCAAATTTTTCTAGGAAGTGGGGAAGAGTGACAGGACAGAGGTTAATACAAACATTAGGGTCAGGAGAATATTTAAATTAATTAATCACCATTCTTAAAAGGGAGTTTCTTGTGTATATAAAGCCAATGGAAATAAACAATTTAAGAGAATTTAAAGATTCTAGAGAGAAAAGTTATTATAGACAGGTTATATATGCCATATTGCAAAGGTGGCAGGGAGGGTACAAGCAACAGGTGCAGAAGGGAGTCACTAGAACAGTGGTTCCCAGCTGGGAGTTATTTTGCCTCTTCTCTTCCCCCAGCACTTTTGGATAATTCTGGAGATACTTTTTTTGTTTGTTTGTTTTTGGGATGGAGTCTTGCTCTGGTGCCCAGGCTGGAGTGCAGTGGTGCAATCTTGCTGTAACCTCCACCTCCCAGGTTCAAGCGATTCTCCTGTCTCAGCCTCCTGAGTAGCTGGGACTACAGGCTCCCACCACCATGCCTGGCTAATTTTCAGGTTTTTAGGAGAGGCATGGTTTCACCATGTTAGCCAGGCTGGTCTCGAACTCCTGACCTCAAATGATCCACCCACCTCAGCCTCCCAAATTGCTGGGGTTACATTCATGAGCGACTGCACCCAGCCTGGAGATACTTTGGCTGTCGCAACTGTGGACAGTGCTGCTACTGGCATTTAGTGGGTTGATGCCAGAGAGTGCTAAACATCCTACAATGCATAGGACTGCCCCCTATGACAAAGAATCCAAAATGTCAGTAAGGTCAATGATGAGAAGCCATGTATATAAGGACAGAAAACAACTTCAATGTAGGAGAAAGGAAGAATAGGATGGGGAGAGAAGTGAGTATATTTTTAAGTTCAATATTAAGCACGTCGTGAGTACTCAATAAATATTAGCCATGATTTTTATCATGTGGTTAGATTTTGTAAATACAAAAATAAATACAAAAATATTTCTCATTATGTTGTTACTTCCTAGTAACACCTGAGTAATAAGAATTTTTTTAAAAAGGCTCTCAGCTGATTTTGTTAGTTATTATAATTTATTTTTAAGCATGAATTTGAATATGATGGGTGCTCTTGACCTCCCCCATAATGAATTTTACCCTCTTTTATTTAAAAAGTTATTGACATCTTCTGTACCTAAGTCACCTGAATTAAATTTGACATACCTAAGAATAAACTAGATTTATTTTTCTTAAATAATATACAAAGTGTCTGGTGGTTTTTGTAGAATTACGGCATAGTGGAAAAAACCTTGGGTCCAATGAGCCTTTCTCCCCCAGTTTTAAGCATTTGCTAGCTAAATAAGGTATGTTACTTAACCACTGTATGCATTCATGTGTTTATCTATAACATGGAAATAGGGCCATTCTTCTCACAAGTGACCATATGCATTAGAGACTGATGTCTGCAAAGCATCCAGCTCTAGGTCTGGAATATCCTGAAACCTGAGAAAATGCTAGCAATTGGTGCTTCTGCTGTCGGTGATAATAATAAGGATTTCTTTTAGGCCTACTGAGCACATTATAAAATATTCATTGGTCAAAATGCCCACTGTGGCATATTGGGGATGTACAACTGTTTTTAGTTGTTCATGGTAAATACAGAAATAATTCTTGAATCCTTATTTTCACATCAAGTTTAAAAGTTTATGTATCTAAAAATCAGAAATTAATTGCCCCTGAGTTTTATAAAATGAATTTTTCCTGTTTGATACTTTCTGTTATAATGAACTCATAGACCAATAGGTAGTGATGCTCAGAAGTTATTAGCAGTAAGTTATTAGGTTTTTTTAATGAAACTAAGATAAAAACAAACAAAACCACACCAATGTTTAGGCTGATCTTTGGTAGTTTCATGTCTGTCCTGTGATATAAAAGTATAAAACAGCAAGAGTTCCCAGGTACAGGCCTGGTCCCAAATCAGAAGTGTTGAAAATATACTTTTGGTCAGAAACCAAGGCTAGGGTAAGATGGAGACAAATGAAGAGGCCTGGATAAGAGCCTGTGTTGATGTTCTTGGCCTCTGTTGGAATCTGTGTTCTCAATCTTGCATTGATCAATGACAAAAAATATAGAGGACAGGACAGTGTAGTGCATACTTAATTTCTTCCCCCTCCCATTTGATAACAGCACCTCCTTTTCCTTTTGGGAAATTACCTTTCCTCTGGGCAGTTTTGTTGAAATAACCAAAGTATTCTGGCTTCTCTTAGCGTAGTGTCCCAAATTAAGCCACACCTGTTCCTGTGGGAATTTGACTATTGAGCAGAGTTTCCCTAATTCTTGTTCTTTCCTGAATCTGGCTCACTAGTATTATCTTTGAATCTGTGTTATATGACAACCTTCTATAAAATTCCTTACGTTTTGTGCTTATTTAATGTTGGTTTGTATTGATTACAACCAACAAAATCCTAATGGACACATGAAGTACTAATACTAGAGACTAGGTAAATAGTAACAGTTAGTCATGGGACTGGGGAATGACTGGAGAAGTGTAATTGTTTAGTAGCTAAGGGCCAATGGGAAATATCTGCCTACCATTCTCATACTCAACAAGACTATCTAACTATGTCTTTGAAAAATCCCAGGGAGAGAGTGGTTTCATCTCCATTAAGATATGAATATCTCCGCGGTGGCTCACGCCTGTAATCCCAGCACTTTGGGAGGCCGAGGCGGGTGGATCATGAGGTCAGGAGATCGAGACCATCCTGGCTAACAAGGTGAAACCCCGTCTCTACTAAAAATACAAAAAATTAGCCGGGCGCGGTGGCGGGCGCCTGTAGTCCCAGCTGCTCGGGAGGCTGAGGCAGGAGAATGGCGTGAACCCGGGAGGCGGAGCTTGCAGTGAGCCGAGATTGCGCCACTGCAGTCCGCAGTCCGGCCTGGGCGACAGAGCGAGACTCCGTCTCAAAAAAAAAAAAAAAAAAAAAAAAAGATATGAATATCTCACTGACTTCCTTGCAAATCGTTTCCATTTTTCTAAGACTCTTTTGCTTGGATCACAGCATTATTCAATCAAACAAGACGCATTTTTGTTGAATGAACACATTTATTCTGATGCTTTGAGTTTGCAGTTGCCAAAAAGGAAATCAAACCAATTCATTCATAAAAATAGATTGGGCTGCATGTGCTCATCTTTCATCATTGTGTTCAAGGTAGAGCTATGCTTCTATTTTAAGAATGAAAAACAAATTTCTAGAAGAGATAAATTGGCATTGAAGAATCCCTATGTAATCGGAAGACTTAGAGGCAAATAATAATTGTAATTTGGACCCAGAGATTGAAGCCACTTCAATAATGATTTTTTGTTTCTCTCCTCTGGCCTATATAGGAGTAACAAATGCTTAATGTCCTGATGGACATAACCATCATAAACATGATGATTATTCCTGGTATGATGTCATCCTTGCAGATCACTGGATTGAAGGCTCCAATTGCTTGCCATGTCTCATCTAAGCAAAAATGAATCTTTCTGAAGATGCAGTAACATATGTTTAGGCTGTGAAAAAAAAGTGGGATGATAGTCTCTCTATAAATGACTTACTAGCAAGAAAATGTTTATTATTCTTTGGTTTTTTTCTAACAGAGTTTTTTTATTAATAGCAGACTGTGAAGATCCATGCCAGGCCAGTCATTCATGGGATTTCAAGATTGTTTATTGTTCTCCCCAAGGAAAATTCTATGCAAATGTAGCAGAACTGGGTATACACAGAGTATGGCAGGCTCAATTTTCATTATTAACTAAGTCGGCATCTCAGAATGTATTCCAGTTTTGGATCTTTTTAATTTACAAAGTAGTACAGCATTTTCACCAAGATTTAGAGGAGTACCTGCTAAATATGTTTACAAGATTTTTTCACTATGTTTTACTTCACACGGTAGTCTTTTGTTAATAGAAAAAGCAAAAAGAATAGGGAATTAGTATTAGACAAGACATCAGTGCACAAAGAAACACAATCTTTATATACATGAAAATATTTTAAAGGTCAGAACCATAGGCTCTGGATTTCAGCAATAGAGTCAAACACATAACTTAAAAGTGTCATGCAACCAAAACACAGAACACATAGAATCTAGATCTGGCTTTGCCATAATTTACTATATGACCTTGAAAAAGTCACGTATTTAACTCAACATCCATATAGATAGTATTGGGGGAAATTCAGCCAGATATCGGGGAAAATTCAGCCAGATATTGGGCAAAATTCACCCCGATATTTCATGTAGTTTCTTTTCTATTTTCCCTAAGCATCAACTGATTTGAGAAATAAACGGACAGAGTACAAAAGAGAGAAATTTTAAAGCTGGGCATCCAGGGGAGACATCACATGTCAGTAGGTTCTATGATGCCCCCTGAGCTGTAAAACCAGCAAGTTTTTATTAGGGATTTTCAAAAGGGGAGGGAGTGTATGAATAGGGTGTGGGTCACAGAGATCGCGTGCTTCACTAAGTAATAAGATATCACAAGGCAAATGGAGGCAGGGCGAGATCACAGGACCACAGGACCGGGGCGAAATTAAAATTGCTAATGAAGTTTTGGGCATGCATTGTCATTGATAACATCTTATCAGGAGACAGGGTTTGAGAGCAGGCAACCCCTCTAACAAAAATTTATTAGGCAGGAATTTCCTCATCCTAATAAGCCTGGGAGCGCTATGGGAGACTGGGGCTTATTTCATCCCTACAGCTCGACCATAAAAGACGGCCGCACCCAAGGGGGCCATTTTAGAGGCCCACCCTCAGGGACACATTCTCTTTCTCAGGTATGTTCCTTGCTGAGAAAAAGAATTCAGTGATATTTCTCCCATTTGCTTTTGAAAGAAGAGAAACATGGCTCTGTTCCACCCGGCTCACCAGCAGTCAGAGTTTAAGGTTATCTCTCTTGTTCCCTGAACATTGCTGTTATCCTGTTCTTTTTTCAAGGAGCCCAGGTTTCATATTGTTCAAACACACATGTCCTACAAACAATTTGTGCAGTTAACGCAATCATTACAGGGTCCTGAGGCGACATACGTCCTCCTCAGTTTACGAAAATGATGGGATTAAGAGATTAAAGTAAAGACAGGCATAGGAAATCACAAGCGTATTGATTGGGGAAGTGATAAGTGTCCATGAAATCTTCACAATTTATGTTCAGAGATTGCAGTAAAGACAGGCATAAGAAATTATAAAAGTATTAATTTGGGGAACTAATAAATGTTCATGAAATCATCACAATTTATATTCTTCCACCATGGCTTCAGCCGGTCCCTCCATTTGGGGTCCCTGACTTCCCCCAACAAGATGGTATTGGTTTGCTATCTATAAAATAAAATAAAATGGCTGAACATTAGGTCAGGATTTTATCTTCTTGACTCTGAGTTAGATCTAGGTCACAGAAATGTTTTATTTGATCACCATATAATTTTTAGAAATTGAGGCTGATGTATTTTGTCAGGGGATTGTCTGTCATTTTCTGCAGGCTCTGTCACTCTCTGATGTCTTTTATCTTTTCATTACCTGACTCGTCCCTGATGAAAATTGATTCTATGACTCCCTTCAGGAGATAGGATGTGTGGACAATTATGGTCTCAAAATCTTATTCTGAGTATCTGGATTTAGAATGAGCCAGCTAATCCTGTTTGAGCTTACTCAATGCACTTGAATAGCAGGAAGAATAAGGAGCCAAATTATGTAATTAATTTGATTGTGTAGTCAATTATGACTTTAGAGTAAATTTCCAATTTTCCCAGGTATGTATACAAAATCTAGGAAAGTTTTGGTATTTATCTGGTTATGTGTAACCTCAGATAAATATGTGCATCCTATATAAACCAAGAAGTTTTCAAATTGCACAGCTCATGGAAAATTCTTTATTTAAATATATGCAAACAATCTGAAATGGGATAGTGAGCTTTACATTAAAAAAACAAAACAAGTCATATTCACAGAACAGTTTTCATTTTTACAATGTATCTCAATATTGTATTTCTAGGATTACCTTCTAATAAAATCAATTTTTCTCATTTCAAGTAATTTCTGGGAAGATAAGTTTTTAAAAGTTTATTTTCAAAACAGAAGCAATTCTTGCCTTCATTAATAGGAATGATAGACAAATTGCATGTTCACATTGAAAAGTGTTTGTTTTTAATCATGCACTTGGCAGTAGCATCCAAGCCACAAGCGCTCACTGTGAAAATGGTGTGGTGAACAGGAAGTAATTGTTCCATTTGTCTCCTTTTACCATCCGGAAGCATCATCCTCAGAATAATGGCATGTTAGCGTATTACTCAAAGATTTTTATACTGGAGAAATCTATTTCTACAGGATGACAAAGTCTTTCCTTTGTCCAGTACAATTAGTTTAAAAATTACTGTTATAGCCTCAATTTTAAAATTGTCTGGTTGTAAGTCTTTGGAGTATACCTAGGATATCTTCTCTAGAGCACTCTGTCAGTTGATTGATTATCTAGCCTATGCCTGAACGTTTCTAATGACAGAAAGTTCATTACTTTGTTGCATCATCTTTTTACTTGTGTAGAGCTATAATTGCTAGGCATATTTTTTTTTTTTTTTTTTTGAGACGGAGTCTTGCTCTGTCGCCCAGGCTGGAGTACAGTGGTGCGATCTCGGCTCACTGCAAGCTCCACTTCCTGGGTTCACGCCATTCTCCTGCCTCAGCCTCCCGAGTAGCTGGGACTACAGGCTCCTGCCACCACGCCTGGCTAATTTTTTGTATTTTTAGTAGAGACGGGGTTTCACCGTGTTAGCCAGGATGATCTCGATCTCCTGACCTCGTGATCTGTCTTGCTAGCCATATTTTAATTCACATTTCTTTTGCTAATGTACTGTTCTAATGACAATACTTCTAAAGCTTTACTTGTCCTGGGTAATCATCCTTGGTGGTTTCAAAGTTTGTTCCTGTGACACAGTTTCCAAATACTTCACCTATCCCTTCTTAAAGGCTCTCAAAGTTCTGAGCAATGACTACTTGATGTGACCGGTACAGAATATTGTGCCCTGTTGTGTCCCTTGAGCTAGACAATAGTTTTATTTTTGTAGTCTCAGATTTTATTAGCTTTTTAGCACCTGTTCATTAAAATGTCCATGAGAGATTATAATCTTTTTTATAGTATAGTTTTAAGTGTATTCTCTCATATTCTATATTTAGACAATTGACTTATTTTGTTTTCTTGTTGTTTTTGTTTATTGATTTGATACATTGCAAGATCTTCGTAGACAGTTGACTTATTTTGAACAATTGAATTTTTGACTTTAAATGCATAACTTTACATCTACCTACTATCTCATCTTATTCTTGCAATAAGCTTTAAAGATATGGAGGAAATATGTTACTTCCATTTTTATTGATAAAATAGTGATTTACAAAGAAACTTGGACTTATATAACAAATTAGTAGCAACATTAAATATCAGAACCGACTGATGCATTTTTGATTTGATGGGAAAATGTGTAGCATTGACTAATAATTTAGAAATGCTTTAACGTGGTAACCTCTGTTGGTAACAAATAGTTGGGATAATAAGTAAAACTGCTGATTATTTAATCCAGTCCCCTCTTTTTACTTGATTACTGTCAAAATTTTTTCATATTTCTATATAACTCCTTAATACTGGAAGAATTTTTCTTTATCCAGTTACACAAATCAGTCATGCAACAGAAAAGATCTACATTTGATTTTGCTTTATCCTGTGGAGCTGTAGGCATTATGTTTTAGAGCTACATGGTTCTTTCCAGATCTACAGCTATAACAGGCATTTGTCTTACCAAACTGAATATTTGCTCAGTTTGAGTCTCAGGTTCAGCTGTTTATATCCAGCATTTAAATGAAAATTCTCTGGTGACAAAGCTGAAAATTACTGCACATTTTAGCTTTTACCTAACAGGAACAATTAGAAAATGAGAAATTAGAGTTTCAGTGACTTGTAGATTAGCATCTCCCTTATTTTCCAGAAGATTCCTTAAATATTCTGCTTAGTTGTCTTTTCTGCAGATATTTCTGCTCTAAATAGTACCTTCCTCTGAGTTGGAATAGAGTACATATTTATCAGCCTCAAAGCAACAGTGCAGGCTCTCTTTAAATACATGAAATAGCTGGGAAATGCTTACCTGAAAACACGTTTTTTCTTTACACAGTCATGTGTAACCCTTATGTGATGGCTTATCCCATCACCATATATAGATTGGTGTGGGCAGGTGCTACTGACAAACCTTTCAATTCTAGCTCAGAGCTACAAAATTCCTTGTCCAAGGGCACAGAATCGACTCACTCAGTATTAATGTTCAAAAAATGCCAAAGACAGTTCTGTTCTCTCAAGCATTCCATTTGGTCTAATTGAGCTTCACTAACCTTTTCTCTTTGACAGAACAACTTTGAATGCATGTCAGGAGGGAGCTTTATAAATATTTATTGAATAAAATAGCTTATTTGGATATGAAATGAGTTTAGAGATGGGAATTAAGGCCAGTGAAACTCTAACTTTCCGATGTAGAAAGTGTGTTCTGGGAGAATGCCCAACATCAAATTTTAAATAATAACTGATTTTGTTTTCAGTATTAAACTTAATATACTGCTATATTAGAACTAGAGAACTCACATTTGTCAGTGGCTTATAAAAACTTATGGAAGGAATAGAAATCATCAGTTGGTATATCTTTCATTTGTCTAATTATTCATTCCTCAAATTTTTCTAGGAATGACTTAAGGTCATTTACAAAAATACATGTTTTAATTATATAAGGAAAATCTAAACAAAGCAACAAAATATAATAAATCCAGGGATGATGTGTGTAACAAAATCGTATTATTAGCTCTGTTCCAGTAAATAATGTAGGTGCTGGACTCTGAAAATTTGAAGAGGTTTTACAATTTGTTGTCCTGTTTAATATGGATCAGAATGAGTCACCATGAATTAATCTTTTTAGGCTACAGAAATCTTGAAAGACATAGATTTCCCAAAACTATATAAAGATGAAAACACCAAGTCGGAACTTGCTTGTTATATTCATATGGGTATTATTAAGAGATGAGGGATTGTGGAGAGAGGCATAATTGTCTGGGGGTTTAGAGTTATGGATTTCTGGACTTGTCCCTTCTAAACTCGCTCATTCGTTTAATAGGCCCACACTGTGATGGATTTTGGGTGCAGAAGATTTCACAGTTGAATAGAATATGGTCTCTTCTTTCAAAACTTCACAGTGCTGTGGCACAGAAAACATTGTGTCAAGTTCTAAAATTAGAAAGTGTACAACTCTACAGGGACAGAATTCTGTGAGATGGAATGCTAAAGCCCTCATCATGTGATCTGAGTATTAAAGATTGACAATTCAGAAATCACAAAGTAAAGAAAGAGGAAAAAATACAGAAATAGGGAAAACAAATTTCAAAGACAGAGATATTGAACAGCATACCTATCTTAAATCTGGTGCTGGAAGAAAGGTTGTGAATATATTTTTAAAAGTAGTACAACTTACTTAACAATGATCCTGGGTTTCCATGAGTTGTATTTTCCATACTACCCAAAATAAGCATCTCTGATAAGCAAGACTTAGTGCTTTAGTTAACATTACATGTTTAAAATAAAAAAAAAAATAAGAAATATACTTGTTTTAAGTTAAATAAGTTTTTCTCTACAATTCTCATTCTTTTGCTTTATATAATCATGATAATTATTGCTGATCTCTCTGTTGCTATCAAATACCACCCCTGGAAAGTTTAGGATTGTTCCTTAAAATGTACGGTTAATAAAATCTGAGAAAATCTACTTTGGTTAGAATACACATGTGAGGAATGGGCTGAGTGAGTAAGCTGTAGCAAGAAGAGATGGTTTCCTGGAAATAGAAGCAGAGGAAGCTTTTGTGATTAAACATAAATCCTTTGAGTATTCTATTAGTTAGGGGGCCATTTTTTGTAAATAATGCTCTCTTTTGAAGATGCAAAGCCAATAAAACTTTTTTTTATTTTTTTTTATTATACTTTAAGTTTTAGAGTACATGTGCACAACGTGCAGGTTAGTTACATATGTATACATGTGCCATGTTGGTGTGCTGCACCCATTAACTAGTCATTTAACATTAGGTATATCTCCTAATGCTATCCCTCCCCCCACCCCCCACCCCACAACAGGCCCCGGTGTGTGATGTTCCCCTTCCTGTGTCCATGTGTTCTCATTGCTCAATTCCAGAAAACTTTTTTTTATGGGAGAGCAGTTAAAATAATTGTTCTTAAAGTGAAAAAAACGAGTCATATTCTGTCTTTAACATATACCAGTTTAATGTGAGGGAAAATGCTCATTTTATCCAACACTGTTTTTGTTGTTGTTGTTGTTTTTGTTTTTTTGTTTGTTCCCCAAAAGGGAGATAATCCAATCTGGTTCTTCAGACCGTGTATCAGTGGTTGGGCTATTGCTACTAGTGGTCAGGGCCACTGTGCATCTTTTCTTTCTACTTTCTTTTCCTTGTCTCTAGGACTTGTAAGGGAACTGAGTTGAACTCGTATATGGGAGGGTCAGTTCTCCATCTTATATCTCTCTGCTTCCTATTAGAACATTCCCTAAACCTTAGGAAATCATCCTGATTGGATTGCATCTGGTAAGATAGAGAAGCCTTCCTAGGGCTTGAGTCTGAAGTGATGTGTTTGATCCAGGTTACGAGAAAGTCTTGCATTTGGGTATTCCTACTCTCCCACTAAGAATTAAAGCAACATTTTGGGTTTCTGTTTCATAGTACTGTATGTATTTAGCTTCCTCAGCAATCATATAAGAAATATTTGATGAAAGGGGAATGTGGGGTCCTAGACTTTTAATCAAATTTTACCAAATTGTGCCTCAAATACCATCGCAATAACTAATATTTGCTTTTGAAGATTAGATATCCAGAGACTTAAAAAAATGAACACCATCTGAGCTTGGGCTTATTAAAGAATTTATCACATATTTAAAATGGCATTAATCCTAGCTCAAAGGGTTTAAAGAATAAAATGAGACACTATACATTGCACATTGCCTATTGGCATATAGTCAAACCCTAAGTATTTGAGGGCAGGAAATTGGTTTATTCACTATTGTCTCTTCAACACTCAGTATATTGTGTAAACACACACACACACACACACACACACACTGTCTCTCTCTCTCTTCCTAAATGAATGAAGTGAAAGAAGGGAATGTTAAAACTTTTTCAGATTGTAGAATAATCAAATAATCATCTGTTTGGCTTTCTGGAATATTATTTCTAATTGGTATGGGAAGGAAAACAGAAGAGACCCTTTGTGAAGTAAAATAAAAAGACCTCGTGTTTTTGTTAAATTTGACAGTTTCCCAGCAGCAGAGGACAATGGGTATCTGAAGAATTTGAGAAGAAGCAAGAGATAAGATACTCATTTATGATGCAATCTTAAAGCTAATTTTTAATGTTTTCATTTAAAACATACTGTGTGCTTATGTGTGTATACATATGTGTATATTATACAGCTATGTACATAAGTTGTACATTAAATTATCAAATAATGATAAAATGTTATATTAAAATTATTTTCCCAAATCAGAATGCAATTGGATTTGTTTAAACTAGACTATATAATTGGGCGATATTTCCTGCATACTACATAAAATGCAAGCTGTACATTTATTTTAACTTGGTTGGTATTTTATGGACAAATCACAGTCATAAATGGGGTTTCTCCTGTCAGAATATTTAATCTGTGGCTTTTTCAGGAAAACGCTAAACTTTTGCAAACTTTCTTTTCCATCTGCTTATGAATTGGTTGCTTGAGCTATTTAAGTTTTCTTTTCCTAAAAGAAAGACAAAGGAAGTAGAACAATCGAATACAGAAGAAAAAACTATACATACTTCTATTTTTATAACTCTCATTCCGTTTTTTTCTTGTCATATCATCATTCCCATAAAGAAAATGGTGCTTCAAACATGTGATTGTGAATAAGTAATCCCAAAGATTTTGGAATATTTCCTTATGTACAACTTGATTTAAATATACATTATTTTCTTACTCTTCAAAATGGTCAATAATATCACTCAGCTCTCTACTTCATCTTTTAAATGTAATTTTTAGGGCTTTTAAAATTACTTTTATGTGCATGGTTTCCTGAGGAACCGCTTAATAAAATATTTATGTTTCTAAATAGGGGATTGTTATTTGAAAATTTATTAATCATCTTTATCATTTTGTTGTCAAGAGCTTTGTAGTAGCTGCTTTTTTGAGATTTCTGCTATGGACATAGACAACTGTGTATATACCCCTCTCCTCAAATGACCATCAACAGTTGGTCATAAATTAGCCAAATTATTTTGATTATTTCTCAAAATAATTTCAAATTAAACTATGGTGAGATAACATATTAATTTGGATGCTGTGGGGCTGCCATGTGAACTTGGAAGCAGAGAAACCAGTCTCTAGGGAAAGAAACATAAAGCAGATACACAAAGGAAAGAAGAGATGAGAGACTGTGTGAACATGAACAAGAGGGTGAAAGAGAGAGGGAGAGAGAGGAGAAGCAAAGACAGACACTGATGCATATTAAGGAACCTTCATCTGAAACCAATAATTAGAGAATATACATTCATTCTTTTATTTGTTTAATACATTTTTTGCTATTATGTGTCAGGTACTGTTAAAGATTCTAATGATAAAAGTGGTAAATGTGAGACTTAAGCCTCTTTCTCATGGAGATTTTATTCTAGTGAGACAAGTTGTCAGTGAATAAACAAAGATATATTATAATTGAGGATAATAATGAGTCATGTGAAGCCTCAAGAGTAGAATAAAGGGTTAACTTGTGAGTGGAGAGGAGAGAAAAGGCCTCTGTGATAAGGTAACCTTTTCAGAGCCTATGCTAGGCAACTAACACTACTAATTTTCTGTTTTACAATTATTTCCCTGGAGTTGCTAGCTCAGTAATTATATGATCATAAGTTGCTGTAGGTAATAGCATAATCACATGTTTTCTTTCTGTATACGAAGGATTAATACATTTACAACCTCCACTATCCCTTTCTTGGCTGTCCTGACATTTGACTCCTGAGCAGACACCACATATTTTTGTTTTCATTTTTGTTAGAGAAGTCCCCGCCCATTCCTGGTTCTGATCTTGTTATTTTTTAGAGTAATTAATGCTAGCTGCTACAAAACACAAATCCCATAATCTCAGTGGCTTGACCCAATATAAGTGCATTTCTTATCTCACAGTCCAAAGCAGTTTGGGAAGCTCTCCAAAGTGGCCCTCCTCCAAATAGTGACTCAAGAATCTCAGCATCTTCAATCTTCTAGCTATGCCATCTGGAACATGTGGCCTTTAAGGTCACTACAGCTGAGGAATAGGGAGCTAGAGGATGTCCACCATTTCCTAATTGCCTTGGAGATAGTCACTGTTGCCATTCAAATTTCTTTGAATTAATCCCATGGCTCCAACCTAACTATATGGGGATTAGGAAATGTGCAAAAGAATGGGGATATTTGTTGAACATTAACAATGACTTCTACAAGGGATATATTTTGAAAACAGAGCCACAGGTTTTGGTGGTGGATGGAATGTAAGGATGGGAGAGAAAGTGGAAAAGCAGAGATGATTCCTAAGTTTTGGCTTGTGTAATTGGGAGAATGGTTGCAAAAGGTCATTGGTATAAGTACAAACCTGGCTTTGACAGTATTCAGAGGTGGGCTTTACTATAGCTGCAGCCATAGCTGTTATTTCTTGGTACCATTATAATTGATTTAGAGATATGATTATATATCTTATTTTATAAAATTCTTTTTAGTTCATAAAGATGGGTGCTTATTTTCTCTAAATTTGATTTTCAGCTCCATATTCAGCTTTTATGGCATGAAGAATTTTGTTACATTTATTTATTCAATATATCTTTCCAGAACACATAGTGAATGCTTACTATGTACTAGATACTAAAGATTAAAAAATAAATAAGATATAATTCCTTATCTCAAGGAGCTCAAAGTGAATTACAAATTTTAAAACAGTGATAAGCCTAAGTTTGTGACATTTTTATCTCATATGAAGACAGCGGAATATATCAAGTGACCTTTTAATATTTCTTCCAAATCTTTCTGTGGTTTGATGAGTCTAGGAATCTTTGGAGCACTTTCCTCCATCTAAATTTATTTTAACTGTCTGGTTTGAGCTCTAAGTTGAGTGAATCTGGCTTTGATTCTGCTAAGATTGTCCCTTATGGGGCTTGGTAGCAAATATAAAGCAGATGTTCATAAAATATTTTAGGATAGCATACTTTGGCTATTAAAAGCAGTATGTAAAAATGAATTTCCTTCTAGCATATTATGTGTAGCCAAATAAAATAACTTGATGAGGTGGAAAAATCTCCAAGATGCTCATCACCTGTTGGGTTCATCTCAGCTTTGGAGGAGTCATAGGTCACTGAATTAATAAATTAATTCAACAAATTGTTAAACAACAAAAAAGGCGCTGCTCTAGGTACGTGGGATAGAGCAGTGACCCACGTGGACAGAAATGCCTCTCTCAGGGAGAATATATTTGAGAGGAGGAAGTATAATAGGCAGAATAATGGTCTCAAAAGATGCCCACATACCAGTCTCTGGAACCTGTGACTGTGTTACCTTATATGGCAAAAGGGACTTTGCAAATATAATTAAGTTAAGAATTTTGAGATGGTAAGATTATCATAGATTATCAGGCTGCCCAATGTAATTACAAGGATTCTCACGAGAAAAAGTGGAAAGCAGAAGAGTTAGCTCAGAGAAGGAGATGTGACCACAGAAGTAGAGGCCCGAGTACTAGGATTGTTGGCTTTGCAAAAGGAGAAATGGGGCCATGAGCCAAGGGATGCCAGCAGTCTCCAGAGGCTGGAGGGTGCAAAGAAATAGATTCTCTTCTATAGCCTCTAGAAGAAATAAAGCCCTGCTGACACCTTGGATTTTAGCTCGGTAATTTCCATCTTGAACTTCTGACCTCCTGAACTGTAAGATTATAAATTTGTGTTATTTTAAGATGGAGTATGTAGTAACTTGTTACAATGGCAATAGGAACCTAGTATAGGAAGCTAAGAAATAACAAGTAAAACACGTATAATGACATATAATAAATGCTTGGAGAAATTAAAAGTTTTGAAGAAGGAAGGGGTGACACTTTCAAATAGATAAGTTGGAAAATGATTAATGGGTCAGTGAAATTTGGCAAAGATCTGAGGCTGGTGAAGGAGTGAACCACCAGATACGTGAGGGAAAGCGTCCCAAGCAGAGAAAACAGTAAGCTCAGAGTCCAGAGTGCTGCTTGGTGTGTTTAAAACATGAGAAAGGGTCCAGTGAGGCTAAAGCTCAGTGAGATATGACCAGAGTACTAGGAGAGGAGATCAGAGAGAACAAGGAGTTAGAGTTCTAAGGCAGTGCTTCTTAAATCTAGAGATGCATGTCGATGCTCTTATTAAGAGCTACACAATTAGTGAGGACCACATATCACCTCCAGATATTCTTATTTAATTCGTTTGTGCTGAGTTTCAGGCTGGAGTAGTGGTTAAAGATCTCCAGGTGATTCTAATATACATCCAGGGTTGAGAACCACTGGTATCAGGTCTTTCAGACTATTCTAACAAACAAAACAAAACAAAACAAAGAACTGGGTTAGACTATGATTGGGATAAGAAGTTGTGGAATGGTTTTCAGGAAAGAAATGACATAACTTGGTATTTTAACATGACTGTTTTGGCTGCTGTATTGAAAACAGATTGCATGGTATTTAAAGCAACAAAATAGCTAATATCAGCAAGAGAATGTGGGGAGAATTTTTTAAAAATGGAAAAGGACTAGGAAGTGAGTTTGGGGGCATGATGAATTGGGAAAATAACTTACAAACAAGAAGAAATAGTGGCCAAGGAAACAGAAAAAAAACTAAAACAGATGACTATGGTGTCTATAATCTAAGTAAATAATGTGTTTCAAGGAGTACAAGAAATAAAATGCATGTCACAACCGGATGGATTCTCAGTCAAGCAGACTCTGAAACCAATTGTAGCATATGCAGTTTTCATTAGGGGCTACCAGTGGGAGTAAAATCTGTGGAAGGAAGTGGAAGGAAGCAAGTTAGGGCAGTGAGACAGGTAGAGCTGAAATGCTGGTATGACGACAGCCTAGGTTGATCCCACAGAATTAAAATGGCCCATCAAAATTGTCCCTTTCTGGGCAGAACTGTCTGGGCTTTCACCCCCCGCTCCCACCACAGCTAGTCTTTGAATATGTGCTTCCTTGGGAAGGGTGTATCCTTGAACTCAGTGACTCTCTACCACTGAGGAAATCCCTTAAGGGTCTAACAGCTGAAGGCTGCTTAGTTGCAGTCAGTCCTAGCAGCTGAGGCCACAAGTCTTCTTGAAGGACACATCATTGTGCCTACTAAAATTCATCTCTGGCACTCAGATTCTTTTCATTATACGTATTCAAAGAGCAGTTCCCCCAAGATTCCAATGGGCCCCTCTGCCTGGGGTAAACCACTTCTCACCAAGTATCAGCCTGTGGGAAGAGTCAGAGGCCTATGGAGTACACACCCACTCCTTTTAAAGGCAACATCCAGACATTGTACATTTAATTTTTTTTTCACATCCCAATTGCCAAAAAACTCTATCACACGGCCACTCCTTTTAAAGGCAATATCCAGATATTGTACATTTAATTTCTTTTCACATCCCAATGGCCAAAACTTTATCACGTGGCCAAGCACAGATGCAAGGTTTGCTGGGGAATGTGGTAAAGCTGTGTGGCTACATGCCCATCCAAATCTCTATGAGGGGTAGGGAACTGAATGTTAGGGGTCAAGCTGAATTCAGCCATACCTGTACTATGCACAGTAATTTCCATATCAAAATTTACATTCAACCTACCATGTGATTTTATCTAAATTTAACTGTAAGATTAGCTCAAAGTAAAATTTTTTGTGTGTGATGGACTTCACATTCGCACTAATCAGTCTAATCCCAGCGCTTAGATTAATTACTATGGTGTACTGCTATTCTATAATAACATTTGACAGCAGGGAAGGAGTTTGTTTTTCTAAGTTTTCTTTATCTGCTACCATTAGTATATGTATTTCTGATTTATCTCAGGGTATTTTCTTCTAAGTCACTCCTTCATTTCTCCAGATTTCATTGTAGGGCTTTTGACAGAGTACATGGTTAAGCAATATTAACTGACAGGTGTATCAACTGAGACTTTATATTACAGGTCAGCTACCACTTTGTATTTTTATTGAGTTGAAATTCAGGTCCCTGAAAAGTCAAAAGCAAGGAACATCTACGTATAAATTTGGCATAGGATTATTGCTTGCAGAACAAAAGATGGGGAATAATAGCCAGAATAATTCATGGTGGTTTTGTTTGAAATCTTTTAAAAAATCTTTTGGGAGAGTCTTAGTTTCTCTTCAGTTTTTACTATTATAAACTATGTTGATATAAGATCTTTGTGCTTCTTTTGTGTTTACTCAGTGTTTGTGATATGACACTTTTCTAAATGCATTTTTCTTCTTCATATTTTTCCTTTTGAATTCTGAGACTAAATTGGTGCCAAAATTGGTGAAAATAATCAGAGTGGTCCTGTAAGATATTTTGGCAAAATATATCAGGAGCTTTATACTATTTATTCCTTGATTTATTAATTTACATTTGGGGGAAGTGCAACTCAAAAAAACCACTGAACATGAAAAAATCATGCACAAAGGTATTTACATCAAATAAATAATAGTTTCTAATAGTAAAAACTGAAAAGAAACTAAATGTCCAATTATAAGAGAATTGTTGAATAAACTTACACTCATTCAATACAAAATAGGTAGTCATTAAAAATAACAAAATATTCATAATCATAAGTAAAAACAATCAAGATACTGATAGCCAGCATGTACTCAGTGTTTACTATATGACACTTTTCTAAGTGCATTACATTTTTAACCTCATTGAATTCTCGTAACAACTCTGTAAAGGAAGTAGTGATATCATTCCTGTTATGCACATAAGGAAGTCTAGGAAAAGAACGTTTGTAGTATTTTGACAAAGGTCATAAAGAAAATAAATGACAAGGGTGATATTTCAACCAAGACATTGAGGCTTCAGAACCCATGCTCGTAATTGCCAAATGATGTTGCCTTGTCTTTATAGTAACTAGATTTGGTGAGGCAAAATTGTATCTCCTTAAGGACAGCAATGATTTTTGCAACTGGAAGTTTGTCTTGAAATTAATGAGCTCATTTACATAAGGTGCCCTGGAACTTTTTCAGAGAGATAGGATCAAGACCCAACTCTTTTCTCCTAAGATAGTTGGACTGACGTAGCCCTGAGTGAGGCCCTGGGATCAGGTCAAAGCAATGTGACCTAAGAAATGAAATGTCAATAAAAGTAGAAAGGCACAGCATGATTGAATAGGCTCTTTCCTGCTCTAAAACTACAGGTCAAAGGAAATGGTATTGTTCTCTTATGGGTGACATAGGGATATACTCTATGCAAGCAAGGCTTGTGCTTCAGCAAAATGGCTTTTGTGACTGAATCCAAATAGTTATAATATTGGAATCCAAGGCCAGTGATGGTGTAAAACATCCTTAGATCCTATATCACTGATGGAAAGATTGCCTGCCTCCCATCTTAAAGAAATTCTGTGACCTGCCTGGAAAGGCATTAACTTCTTCTAAAGAAGTTTCAGGCCCAAGCATTAGCGTTGGAACTGTACAGGCTGCTGGTATGTTTCAGCATTGACAGGGGCAATTGCCTTTTTTTCAGGTTTCATTTCAACCCCATGTTTTGGGAACTGTTTGGAACAGACTAATCAGCTCTAAATTCTGGAATCTTCCACCTTCTTTATCTTCAAAGGGATGGTTACATATTCTGGCTAAGGTAAGAAAACTAGAGCAATAGTACTTATCCTTTGGATCAGAGAATGATGGGTGAAGCGTGTGTGTGCATGTGTGTGTGTGTATGTGTGTGCAAAGAACATGACATTCAGATTTAAATACTGTACATTGGACCCAAACTGTAAAGATAAACAGCATGGTTTCAATAGATGGTTGATGCTTTGAAAAACAAAACAGATCATACTTGAGGAAGAGAAATGGGAGGAAATACACTAACACATTAACGTTGTTTTATGCTAATGGCTCTTGGGATAGTAAAAATGTTCTTTATATTTAACCTTTTCTTTAAGGCATAGGCATTACCTTTCTGATAAAAAATAAAGGTAATATTAACTTTTTAATAACTATTATTGGGGAATGAGTTGTGTTTCTTCGTGATTTTTAAGTTATTAAACATATCAATTTTCTTACTCTATTATTTAAATAAATTTCTTTATTAATTCACTGGACCAGTTGAAGAAGAATCAGTATTTAAAAAAAATTGTGTTCAACATCTCCATAGACCGGACATGATTCAGCATTTTACTTATATAGTGCCCTGCCTTCTAAACAGAAAACAGAAGGACCTTAGGGAAACACCAAGGATGTGTATTTTTGATCTATGCTCACAGTAAATCTCAAGGAAATCAGATCAGCCCTTTACTCAATTCATCTCAAAATGCCCAAATCAGCCACGCATTAAAATTTAGTGGTTCAGGAAAATGCTCCCCAATGTCATCTTCATAACCTCTTACAGGGAGCAAGGGTAATTCTATAAAGTTGTTCCCTGCATTTTAACACCCTTTTAGTCTGCACCTTTGGCGTGTGAAAATTAAATTAAGAGAAACAAATTAAATTACCATATTTTATCATATGCTGACTTGTTACATTCCTCTAAATCTAAAATGATTTAGGTTTGTTTTTGAAGGTTGCATGGGGTTGCTAACCTGGAGAAAATCACCAAGACACATTTATTCACCTAGTGAGCAGTCCCTGATTTCACTGGTTTCTTTTCAGAGAGGTAACTTGCAGTAAATGCTGTCAGTAAATGCTTTGATTTTCTTAATGCTGATTTTATGGTCCTGGGCAAAGATAATAGAATGCAAGATATATGGTTAGTCCCAGTAAGCAAATCAGGGCATATATAACCTTTGAGAGTTCAAATACTTAATAATAGACCTCTTTTACATTTTGGAGTGGTGATCCAATCAGGGTCACTGTGTACTGCTGTTTGTGTAGTGCACTGCAGGATTCCACGGAGTGATATTCTCTGTACTATCTGGTGAATGCGATAAATCAGGAGAAATTATTAAGTGTTATGGTGGTGTACTAGAAAGAACATTGTTCTGAGAACTAGAAAAATGTGATTCCTTCCCTGACTTTGCTAAGATTGAGCCATGATTTTGATGGAAATTGTAAAGAATAAATACATAATCTGGGTTATCTTGGTGATTACTTTATATCAGGAATGGCCGTTCTATTTTCGCACCTGTTTTTTCATTTCATTTAACATGATATTGACAAGAAATGTAAAATGGAAGCAATTGGCATTTTAGAAATAACAGCTTTATTGAGATGGACTCACATAGCATACAATTCATCTGTTTAAAGTATACAGTTTTTCATATATTCACAAAATTGTGCAATCATTGTCACAATTTTAGAACAATTTCACCACTCCAAAAAGAAGCCTCATTCCCACACCCCCTGCAAACAAGAATCATACCACTTGACTAACAAGCTGCCTAGAAGCCTTATTCCAACTAGCAGTCAGGTCCCAGTTCCCTCCAACTTCTCAGAAACCCTAGGGAACCACTTATCTTTCTGTATCTATACATTTGCCTTTTCTGGACATTTCATACAGATGGAATCATGCAATATGTTGTCTTTTGTGACTGACTTGTTTCATTTAGCATAATGTTTCAATGTTTGTCCATGTTGCAGCATGAATCAGAACTTCATTCCTTTCTATTGTTAAATATATTTCATTGTGTGGATATACCACATTTACTCACCAATTCATCACTTGATTGATGCTTGAGTTGTTCTCACTTTTTGGCTATTATGAAGAATGCTGCTATGAATGTGTGTTAACAAGTTTTTGTATGAACATGTTTTTTATTTCCTTGGGATATATACTTAGGAGTGGAATTTCTGGGTAAATGGTGAATATGTTTAATATTTTGTGGCGTGTCTAGATTGTAAAATGCTGTAGCATTTTACAGTTCTACAAGCAGTGATGGATCCATTTTCTCCTCAAGAACAGTTGTTATTACCTGTCCTTTTCATTATAGCCAACCTAATGCATACGAAGTAGTAACTCAATGTGCTTTTGGTTTGCATTTCCCTGGTTGCTAATGATGTGCTTATTGGCCATTTGTATACCTTCTTTGGAAAACTGTTTATTCAGCAATCAATTTTTAATTGAGTGTTTCTCAAGCAGCAATACTTTTATAGAACCTTGAAAGATTCAAATTCATGGTAGGTTTGAGAATATTTGATGCTTTTCATTCTAGCTTTAATATTCCATCATTTTATATGATTTGTGTGATGTGAAGAGGTTATATAGCCCACAGTATCCCTCCCCACCAGGCTGTAAGCTCCAAGAAGACAAAGATGGTCTCTTCCAGTAATTGTTGTTTGTAGCAACTAGTAGAGTGCTTCTTATATGATAGATACTGAAGCAATATTTGATGGATGAATAAACTGAGACACTTCTTTTCAAAGACACTGATTCTATATTTCTGGAGCTGACTATATTATCTTTTCTACACCCCCTCCCCCTAGAATATATGTATTTTGAAATCTTTAAAAGTTAAATAAAACTTAATCATTTGCAACTTAAACAAAAAATTACTAATTTGATCTGAGAGAAATGCCATACCTATCAGGAAAAAAAGATGATTCAGATCCTAACTTTCAGGTTTTTAGAAGTATTTTCTTATTTCTGTCACTGGTCCATATTCACCAAGGGCCTGGCACAAAACATTTAGGTTAATGCCATAATATAATAATCAGAGGCTATTGTTTTGCTGGTGAAGTAATATTCCACATATCCTGGCCCTGGTTCTTCTAAGCAGTCTCTTTTATCGATTTTGCAAGTGGAAGATGAACCCCAAAATGCCTCCCGGCAGCCTGCTCATTGGTAAGTCTGGGGGAGTGAAATGTTGTCCCTCCTATCCTCAGCAAGCAGCTATAAAGGAAGCCAGGAGTTATGTGCTAACCTGTGTTCCCATAAATTTGAATCATCGAAGTCTTAATTTCCCATTATCTCTGAATTTGACTGTATTTGGAGAAAGGATCTGTAGAGAGGTAATTAAATTAAAATTAGGTCTTAAAGGTGGTTGCTAATCCAATATGACTTGTGTTTTTCTAAGAGGAGGTTAGGAAACAGACACACACAGAGCCGAGACCATGAGAAGCTACAGGGAGAATAAGGCTATCTACAAAACAAGCAGGGAGGCCTTGGAGGAAACCAACTCTACTGACACCTTGCTCTCAGACTTCTAGCCTCCAGGATGGGGGGAAAATAAAATTTCTGTTGTTTAAGCCACCAGTCTCTGGTACTAATGCACTGAGTATGGGCTGCATGAAGATAGAAGGTGATATGGTTTGGATCTGTGTCCCTGCCCAAATCTCATGTGGAGTTGTACCCTCCAGTGTTGGAGGTGGGACCCGGTGGGAGGTGACTGCATCATGTGGGTAGGTGTCTCATGAATGGTTTAGCACCATCCCCCCTTGGTGCTGTATAGTGAGTGAGTTCTCATGAGATCTGGTCGTTTTACAAGTGTGAAGCACCTCCCTGCTGCCCCAAACTTCCTCCTGCTCCAGCCTTGTAAAGCCCAGCTTGCGTCCCCTTTGCCTTCTGCCATGACTGTGTTTCCTGAGGCCTCCCCAGAAGCAGATGCTGCCATGCTTCCTGTACAGCCTGCAGAACCATGAGTCAATTATTCTTTTCTTTATAAATTACCCAGTCTCGGATATTTCCTTATAGCAGTGTGAGAACAAACTAATACAGAGGGTTTATCTTGAATTTACTGTGGCAGCATTCTTGGCTTTCTACTAGGGGAATAGAGAGAACTGGGAAGATGAGATGATATGTGTCTACCCAAAAGCAGAAGAATCTAGAACAAAAGCATTCATATCCTTTATCCTTTCATTAAGCATTTCCTCAGTATTGCTCTGAGCTGAGAGCCAGGACTACTTTTCTAGTTGCAAAGGCCACATTTTAAATAAAAAAGAGCATGGTAGGCATTCAAAATAACAAATGGAAACTTTCTGTGTTTAGCATTTGAACTTAAATGATGGACTGCTACAATGTGGCTATGGTTTTCTTTTCTCTTTCTTTTGTTTTTAATTTTTGTTCCCTTAATATTTTCCTATGTCATTAAGAGTTATTAGAACACTAAAACCACAAATATCCTGATGTTAACTTTTTCCTTGGGGTAAGATATAAATAACAAAATTTATTATATTAACTATTTTTAAAGGTACAGCTCCATGGCATTAAGGATATTCAGGTTGTTGTGCAGTCACCACCATCCATCTTCCAAACTTTTAAAAAAATCTTCCCCAACTCTGGTGATATCTTTTAAAATAAGTGTTTCCACTGAAACCGGACCCCTTTCTTACACCTTGTACAAAAATTAACTCAAGATGGATTAAAGACCTAGATATAAAACCCAAAACTATAAAAACCCTAGGAGAAAATCTAGGCAATACCACTCATGACACAGGCACGGGCAAAGATTTCAGTTGCAACAAAAGCAAAAATTGGCAAATGGGATCTAATTAAACTAAAAAGCATCTTCACAACAAAAGAAACTATCATCAGAGTAAATAGGCAACCTACAGAATGGGAGAAAAATTTTGCAATCTATCCATCTGACAAAGGTCTAATATCCAGAATCTTTAAGGAACTTAAATGAATTTACAAGAAAAAAACAAACAACCCCATTAAAAAGTGGGCAAAGGACATGAACAGACACTTCTCAAAAGAAGACATTTATGTGGCCAACAAACATATTACAAAAAGCTCAACACAACTGATCATTACAGAAATGCAAATCAAAACCACAATGAGATACCATCTTACTCCAGTGGGAATGGAAATTATTAAAAAGTCAAGAAACAACAGATGCTGGCGAGGCTGTGGAGAAATAGAAGCTCTTTTACACTGTTGGTGGGAATGTAAATTAGTTCAACCATTGTGGAAGACAGTGTGGCGATTCTTTAAAGATCTAGAACCAGAAATACCATTTGACCCAACAATCCCATTGCTGGATATATAAAGGAATATAAATCATTCTAATGATATATATATCAATCATTAGATATAGATATATATATAAATATATAAATATAGATATATATAAATCATTATAATGATACACACATGCATATGTTCATTGCAGCACTATTCACAGTAGCAAAGACATGGAATCAACCCAAGTGCCCATCAGTGATAGACTGGATAAAAGAAATATGACCCAGCCACCCCATTACTGGGTATATACTCAAAGGACTATAAATCATGCTGCTATAAAGACACATGCACACGTATGTTTATTGCGGCACTATTCACAATAGCAAAGACTTGGAACCAACCCAAATGTCCAACAATGATAGACTGGATTAAGAAAATGTGGCACATATACACCATGGAATACTATGCAGCCATAAAAAATGATGAGTTCATGTCCTTTGTAGGGACATGGATGAAATTGGAAATCATCATTCTCAGTAAACTATCACAAGGACAAAAAACCAAACACCGCATGTTCTCACTCATAGATGGGAATTGAACAATGAGAACACATGGACACAGGAAGGGGAACATCACACTCTGGGGGTCTGTTGTGGGGTGGGGGGAGCGGGGAGGGATAGCATTAGGAGATATACCTAATGCTAAATGACGAGTTAATGAGTGCAGCACACCAGCATGGCACATGTATACATATGTAACTAACCTGCACATTGTGCACATGTACCCTAAAACTTAAAGTATAATAATAATAAAAAAAAAGAAAAATTAAAAAAAATTCTACATTCCAGAGTCTTCCCATAAGGGGGCAATATTCCATTCTCCTCTAACTTGATTCATAATTTAAATATACAATCAGTCTAATGATATATTTCCATCTCTTATGTATAATAAAATGAGTTTTTATGATAAAAATATCCAGAAACACATTACTTACACCAAACACAAAACTAAGATTTTCACTAGTGATGCAGTATAAGCTGAGGATAGATAATAAAGCAAAATTATCCAAACAAAACGCCAGGCCCTCCTAAAAATGCCAGGAAGAAGACTTGTGTCTGTGAGAGGGGAGCCTACAGGGACGGGGGACCTGGAGATAAAAAAAGACTTAAGAAATATATCAAACAAATGCTATAATGATAATCTTTAAACACTGCCTGGTTTTTACGTAGCTGGAAATATGAAAGGCTTATTAGCATCTCTCTTCACTGGACATGATGAACAAAGTATGGCAGAGAGGACAATCCATTTTAAAGGGGAGTTAAGGCTTCATTTTATTTCTATCTAAAACCTTTGTTTTCCTTTTTCTCTAACAACGAACGAAAACACTCCATATTTCATAAAAGAAAAAATTGAATTTCTCTCCATTCAAATTCAAGGTGAAAGAAGACATTTTTGGACTCTACAGATATTCTGATAAGCATCTATTAAAAAGTCTGTCATCCATGTTCAAGCATCCAAATGTGCCTCCATATATCCTTTCCTGCTGAAAAGAACAAGAGCTCCCTGAAGAAATGACTGAGGGCTGAGACAGAAGATGCATAAGATGAACCTAAACATATCATCATACCAAAAAGGAAGGACACTATAAAAAGTCTTCAGAAACCAACTTGAAGGGGCTCCTCTCACTAGTCAAGGATGGGATCATTTGAGCATCAATAAAAAATAATCATGGCAATGGAAAAAAAAAAAAAAGAAATGTGGTACATATACACCATGGAATACTATGCAGCCACAAAAAGGAATGAGATAATGTTCTTTGCAGGGACATGGATGGAGCTGGAAGTCATTATCCTCAGCAAACTAATGCAGGAACAGAAAACCAAACAGCACATGTTCTCACTTGTAAGTGGGAGCTGAACAATGAGAACACATGGACACACGGAGGGGAAAAACACACATTGGGGCCTATGCGGGGATGGGGAAGGGGAGGGAGAGCATCAAGTTAAGTAGCTAATGCATGTGGGGCTTAATACCTAGGTGATGGGTTGATAGGTGCAGTACAACACAATGGCACATGTTTATCTATGTAACAAACCTACACATTTTACACATGTATTCCGGAACTTAAAATTTTTTTTTTAAACATAAATTTTTCCTTTTAATTTGTAGCTGGATGAATAGTTCTTACTGCTTTTGTTTTAGTTTTTGCTTTTGAGACAGTCTCCTCTGTCACTCAGGCTGGAGTATAGTGGTGTGATCATGGCTCTCAGCAGCCTCAAACTCATGGGCTTAAGTGATCCTCCTGCCTTGGCCTTCCAGAGTGCTGGAATTAGAGCCAGGAGCCACTGTACCTGGACTGGGTGAATAATTCTAATAAGCATGGGAGGAAGTTTCCAGTGAAGTCCTATAGGATTTCTCTCTCCTTCCCAAGCTCTCTTCTTCCTCCCTTTCTTCCTGTCTCTCTCCACGTTTTCCCATCCAATGTCCTTCATAAATAATGACCCGTTATAAGTGTGACTACAAGAATGATTTCTTTGTTTTCTTTCATAATACCTTTTCCATACAAAAGTGTGAATGCTGTTATTGTTTATATTTAGCATAACAATGGATATAATAGATTTTCTTTCTTCTGGTTCATGTATGTCTACTGTTTATATTACATTATTGTTTACCTTTTGCCATTTTATTTTTACTGGTGGGGACAAGCTGCTATTTTGGAGTTTTATTGTATATTCTATTGCTCTAATGGCTTCATACCTTTGTCATAGTAAAATACATTTATCTGCTATATGAAAGTAATTTATAAATAATTTCTCCTCATAATAAACTATATTTTTCTGTTTCCTTATTGTCCAAAAAGAGATATTGAGAATAGTCTACCTCTACATCCTATCCTTTTTTTAATGATCTATTCATTTGTTTATCTTTTTCTGAGATATCTTCGTACTTTTAGCACCAGACTATTATGATGTTTTCACCAACAGTATGTATTTTCTATGCCAACAAGCCTTACCGAGTGCTTAAATTATGTATTTGCAGCCACTGTATCATTATGCATTTAAATTGAACTGTGTGCTCTGCAAAGTTAATTGCTTGCCCTTATTCAGTTTCTTCTCTTATAATGATGTCTCCATCCTAACATTTGTATTTCTGGTTACAGTTCTTTCCTAAATTTTTTTCTCAGAAAAAATTTAAAAATTTATTTAATCACGGTTTTTCTATGTTCATGTGTTGCTTTTTCTTTCTGGATTACCTATTATTTGTGGTTAGTACTCTTGGATTTATCCTCCAACTCTCTAATGTTTTCTTATTATTTCCCTTCTTCTTTATTATTATTTTTGCATTATCTTATGGCAAAATCTTAATCTTTTTTTTACTGGCATCTTATGTGGAATTCTTCAGTGGTTTTAATCTCTTAATCTTTCAGGTTACTAATTTGGATTTCAACAATGCCCATTCAATTAATTCCTGAACTTTATAGCTGTATTCTTTCAATTTCAATTTCTGACCCTTAATGCTCAAGTTGAGCTATAAGATAGATATCTAAACTTAGTATTACTAGAAAGAATAAAGCTAAAAATCATCTGTATCACTGATCTCAGAAAATATGTTAGCATCGACAATCAGCACTTATCTGCTCAGTGTGATTGTTTCATGGCCAAAAGCCCAGGTTATATTTCACTGATAGTTCACACTTCTTTAGAGCTTCCTCTATATGTCATACAAATTAAATATGTAAAACAATAATGCAATCTGTATAGGAGATGAAGAGATTCTCAAAAGCATTTAAATATTACTTAATATTTATGAGATATTTCATAAAATTTTAGACCATCTCTTATACTGCTGATTGCTGATTTCACAATTTTCTATCTTCCCCTAACAAGGTTTCTTAAGAACAAGCTTTGTAATGACTAAATGGGAATATAATTGAATTGTCATGTACATTAATGAAGTTAATTCAGAGAAATATTTTCTAACCTTTTGTTTTTAAAGCTGCAAAACACTTAAAAATGGCATCTTATGTGGAATTATTTTGTGATTTTAAGATACGTCTACAAATTTTTCAATGCTCCTTCCTCCAGCAGGTGGAGTCTAATTCTTCTTGCTTTGAGTGTGGGCTAGACTTAGTGACTCATCTCTAATAGATAGAATATGGCAGAAATGGCAGGGAGCAACTAGGTCAAGAAGGACACTGCTCCCTCTCTTGAGTCACTCACTCTGAAAGAGGCTAACTGCCATGTCATGAGCACCAGCCATATGAAGAAGCCCATGTGGAAAGGAACTGAGGCCTCTAGCTAACAGCCATGTTAATTAGTCATCCTGGGGCCAGATGGTGCAGCACTGGCCAACATCTTAATTGCAACCTCATGCGTGACCCTGAATCATAACAACACATCTCAGCTGCTCCCAGATTGCTGACTCTCAAAACTGTGTAAGAAAATAAATAAATGTTAAGTGGTTAAGCTTAGGAATAATTTGTTACACAGCAATAGCTAGCTAATGCTAGTGCCAATATATAAAATACTTGTAAATAGAACTGCTATTTTCAAAGAGGATGAGGGAGAAACCAGAAGAAATTCAACTCTCTGGGCCTCTCCTTCATCCCCAGCTGTGATCTGAGAAACACCTCAGCATGGCCATAATAACTTACAGAAAATGGATTGTGATACATTTGTGTAAAATCCACTTTGTAGTCTTGAGATGATGATTCAACTTGATATTATTTGCTGAGTCAGAAATATCTTCCTGTAAGGAAAGGAAAGAAGATCCTTGCTCTACCACATCCTAACTTTCCCTAACTTGTCCTTTAATAGCCAAGACGAGAGATTACCTACAGACCAAAGTGATGTATCATTTCTTTCCCAGTTTTTGAATATGGAGAGATGCTCTTTGATATTCTATATGCTGTGTGTGTATATATTGGATGCATGTATATGCGTTCATGTGGATATCCTGAAATTATATTCATTTTTAAAGCTCTTCCTTATGGTCTTTGAAAGCTGTTTTGGTGTAACAAGACCAAGATTCAATCCTTGGCATATCACCTTCCTGTAATGGGAACTTTGAAAAACTATTCACCTTTTGGAAGCTCAGTTTTCTTAACTGTAAAATGAGAATAATATTTATAGCTCAAAGAATTTTCAAGATGACATGAGGTCTTTTTGGCAATATATATGTTTGTGTGTCTTAACACAATTTCTATCACAAAGTAGGCACTTAATAAATGTTTTTTATTTTTCTCTTTGCCACTGCTTTTCACTTTTTCCTTGATGCAAAAATATTAACTGAAATAATAATTCACATTATTCTCTCATTCTTTCTTTTGTCTTGTCTCAAAAATAAAACAGCTTAAACCTAATATAAATTAAAATCAACTATGTATAGAAACCCCATTTGCTGGATTTTTTGCTTCGTCCATGTTTCCTTTTTTTAGTTTATTATTTCTATTTCCATTCTAAAGGGCTTTATTGTATGTATGGTGCTTTTTTTGTTGAGTAAGCTGATTCAAATCCTTTCTAAAAGTAGGGAAGGTTTATAGTTATAAATTAAACAAATATGCAAACAAACAAACAAGCAAACATACTTTGGTTTCCTAAACTGAAAGATATTTAGATTAATAGAAAATAAATTGAAACTCTCGAACACTGGACATTTAATATCCTTTAAGCTGTGACATATTCATTTTTAACACACATAATGGTTGAGAATGAGAGCTATAAATGACTTCCATGGACTGTCATAGGCTTAAGAATAATGCATTTATGTAACACTTATTCTTACTATTGAGAGCTATAAGAAACTTTCTATTACTTTTTTGATTGAAGACTATTCATAAGTTAAAATTGTACTGACCTGGGGCCTCAGCCAGATGCTTAACATGAATCAGTACAAATTTTAGTAAAGTGAGGTGTAGAAAAATTCCTGAATATCTGTCCTCTATTCTCCTCTTAGGATTTAATATTCTTTTTTCAAATCAAAATACTTAATGCTTATTTAATACATTTTCTATCATTCCTTTTGTTGCCAGCTATGTATTTCAGAATGCATTTGCTAGTGATCTTTGCATAGATTCAGTTACAGCCCCACAAGAAAAGGAATATATAGATAGGAATGTGAAGATTTTAGATTGCCCTATTTTATGCATACAATTAAGGTCATTTTTGTTATACAATGTGGATTCTTGCCAAGTCCCATGTGGTAGGGTTCTGAATGATTGCATATTACATATAACACAAGCTCTAGCCTTTGTTATGCTATCAATGGTGTAAAGAGGCTGAGAATAAGAGACTGAAGAACACATAGTTTTATTAGAGTTTACACGTTTCTAACTTAATATATCTAACCGGGAACTAAAGGTTATCTCTCTCCATTTTATAAATCACATTTAAATGGCAGGAAAAAAATTTAAAAATCAAAAATATTAACACAGGTTCTGCTTAAATCAGTACTCCATCTGTAAAGACAAAACATTCTCCACAAAAATCTAACTAGAAGCCAGTTTCTTATTTTATTTTATTTAGAGATAGAGTCTTACTATATTGCCCAGGATGGAGTGCAGTGGCTATTCACAGGTGTGATCCTACTACTAATCAACATGGGAGTTTTTTTTTAAGTTGCAAGATGTTTTAAATTTTATGTGTTGTATGTTTTATTTGTTCGTTATTGTATTGTACTGTATTTTTTTAAGTTCTGGGATACATGTGCAGGATGTGCAGATTTGTTACATAGGTAAATGTGTGCCATGGTGATTTGCTGCTCCTATCAACCCATCATGTAGGTATTAAGCCTAGCATGCATTAGCTGTTTTTCCTAATGTTCTCCCCCACTGACCCCTGCCCTTCCGCGGCAGGCCCAGTGTGTGTTGTTCCCCTCCCTGCGTCCATGTGTTCTCATTGTTCAGCTCCCATTTATAAGTGAGAACAAAGCATGGGAGTTTTGACCTGCTCTGTTTCTGACCTGGGCCAGTTCACCTCTCCTTAGGCAATGTGGGGGTCTCCTGCTCCAGAGAGGTTATCATATTAATGCCGAACTCAGTGCCTTAGTGCAGCCACCAAGCAGTATAGTGTTCTGCAGTCCAGAACTCCTGGGCTTAAGCTGTCCTCCTCCATCACCCTCCAGAGTAGTTGAGACTACAGATACATGCCACCACACCTGGCCTATTTCTCATTTTAAATGATACAAATTATGATAATCCTCCCAACCAATTTCTTAAAATACAGATAAAACACAGGGAAACACCCACATGTAAATACAAACTATTATTTTAGGATATAACATACTTAAAACATTAATTTATAACCACTAAAATAACAATATGAGTTTTAACTAAAAGGGTAATTAGAGGAAACCACCCTCCCCCTAATTAAGGAATTTCTAGAAAGAACCAGTGGCCTATACAGAAGAAAGAAATACTTTCCCCAAAGTGACCTTTCCCAGAAAAACCCTAGAATAACATGATGATTAAAGGCATCAAGGTCTGGGAGAGCAAGTGGGCTGTGAGCTGTTGCATAGGATGATTGATCAACGCCTTCATGCTCCAGCTTCTGGGAGGCTGGCTTAGTGTTTACCCACAGGTTAACGACTGAGCCCATTTCTCCAGATAAAGTTGGAGATCTATAGGAGGACACTGTCTTAGTGAGCTTTGAGACAGAGAAAGTATCAGGCTCTGCCCCACATAAATTTAAGGACAGGTAAGGAGCTTCCAACACTGGAAAGGCATGCTTCTTCTCTTCTCTAAAAGAAAACTCCAGGAGCTTTGTTTCCCTTCCCTCAACACTCCCCCAGGTGACTCTTGGAACTTTAGTTCTTTATTCACTGCAAAGCAGACAAGACATTTTGCTTAGATGTAGGAAATACACTTTAGCTTCTAATAGGAATCAAACTAAAAGCTCATTCATATATATCCACGATGAACAAAGATTTGTTCTGTAATAGATTGATAATCAGACATATATTGTTTCTAATCTGCATCACAGGATGAAACAAATCAATAAAGTGATGTCTACATGTGCTGAAGGAGAAGAACATTATAGTTAAAACCCAATTTCAGTTAAGCTTCACAAATGAGGACAGAATAAACCAAATTTTAGACTTAATCAGGAATTAAAACATTTATGCCCAAACCTAAATCTGGTTTTTGCTTAATATACTTCATCAAAAAATAAGTAAATTTGAAAAAAAGAGTAAAGTTTAGTATATAAAATATTGTGTTGAGCGTAATCATGTAAAGTCATAGTTAATTCTAAATAAATGTTGATAATGCAGATTTGACAATCTGGAACAAAAATTACAAATTATTTCAACAAAATCTAGGAAATGAAAAAGGAAAGATAAAATATATGGTAACATCTTAACTCATTCAAGGGATACAGTGTAGATACTAATTATTGTCAATAATACAATGTAGATAAATATGTTACATAATTATTACATTTGTGTATATATATACACATATACATGTATATAGGTATATATATTCATATATGTATATATATTCATATATATTACATATATTCATATATGTATATATTCATATATATGTATATATTCATATATATTGTATATATTCACATATATATATTCATATATATGTATATATATTCATATATATTATATATGTATATATATTCATATATAATATATATTATATATTATATATGTATATATATTCATGTATTATATATATTATATATGTATATATATTCATATATATGTATATATATTATATATGTATATATATTCATATATATTATATATATTCATATATATGTATATATATTATATATGTATATATATTCATATATTATATATTCATATATATGTATATGTATTATATATGTATATGTATATATATTCATATATGTATATATATATTTTATATATGTATATGTATATATATTCATATATATATACATATATATGTATATATATTCATATATATTATGTATACATATATGTATATATATTCATATATATTATATATTATATATATGTATATATATTCATATATATGTATATATTATATATATGTATATATATTCATATATATGTATATATTCATATATATGTATATATATTCATATATATGTATATATTCATATATATGTATATGTATATATTCATATATATGTATATTCATATATATATGTATGTGTATATATGTCTCCAAACAAAAGAGAGAAAAGGAAGTAACATAAAATATATCCAGCTTGGCAAATTTCGAAAAAGAAAAATGTATACCACTTGGAAATATGATACACACACAAAATGAGATGAATAACTGACTCCAAATAATAATGATTCTAATGTTTAAAGTATACTTTCCCATGAAAAGTTTCTCTAAAGTCATCACACAATTCATTTAGTGGGTGATGGTTACACTAAAATCCAGACTTTATCATTATGCAATATATCCATGTAACAAAACTTCACTTGTACCCCTTAAATGCATACAAATAAAAACAAACAAATAAAAAAATCAATTTAGAAGATATTTACAAGAAACATGTAACAATTTAAAATACAGATTGAGCATCCCTTATCCTAAATGTTTGGGATCAGAAGTATTTTGAATTTTGAATTCTTTTTGATTTTGGAATGTTTGTATTATACTTACAGGTTGAATATTCAAAAATCCCAAAATCTAAAATTCAAAATGCTATAATGAGCATTTCCTTTAAGCATGATGTCGGTGCTCAAAATAATTTCAGGTTTTGGACTTCTTTGAATTTCTGACTTGGGATCCTCAACCTGTATAAGAATGTGGAAATTATTATAGAAATAAAAACACATAGAGACAGCAATGATTATAGTTATATAAGAAAAAATTGAATTCAAGGCAAAAAGCATTAGATCAAATGGGAATATTTAATATAGTTTAACTAGAGAAGTCACTGAGAAGTTATGGAAATAATATAGAAACATAATACAAACAACAGCTTCTAGCATCATGGTGTCAATTGTTAAAGAGAAAAAGAGAATTTGATAAAAGACATAAATTAATTCATTTAATCAACAAATATATTTTGAATACTTCAACTGTTTGTGTTAGGTATCAGGGATATAGCAATAAAACAAAACAAAACATAAAAGGTCTTCATCTTCAAGGAATTCACATTCTATTGTAGGGAGAATAATCACTCACCAAATATATATCCATTAGGTGAGATGTTAATAAGTAATTTAAAGAAAAATAAATCATAAAGAATAATGAGTCAGGGCTATTTTATACAAGGTAATCAGGGGAGGCCTCCTGAAAGATTTGATATTTGTGTGCAGAGCACACGGGAGAAACAATGCAAGCCTTGCTTGTATCTTATGCAGTAGCATCCCAGGAAGAAGAAATGACCAATACAATGCAAGGTAGGATCATGTCTAGACAGGAGGTCAGACTGGATGGAGTGGAATAAATGTGAAATCAAAAAGCAAACAGGAGGCCAGATCATGCAAGGAATAATGTGTCATAGTAAAGACTTTGGATATTATTCTATGAAATAAGGAAAGAAGTCTTATAATCTGATTTTGTATTATGATTGTATATTTAAAACAATCTGTACTGCAGTGAAGAGAATAGTCAATAAGGGTGCAAGCATTGACACAGGCAGAATAGGTAAGAGATGATGATAGCTTGAATCAGGGTGGTAGAAATGAAGGTTGTCAGAGGGTAATGAGACTCTGGCTTTTGAAGGCTTATGTTTGTTGACATATTGTCATGAGATGAGAGTAAATTAAAAGTCAAGAATGACTCTGGAATTTTGGCTTGGGCAACTGAAGGAATGGAGGTGCCATCTATAAGATAAGAAAGATTGTAGGAAACACTAGTTTGAGGGAACTAGTCAAGAGTTCTATTTATGACCTGATTAGGTTGAGATGTCTATAAGACAGTCAAATGGAGATGCTGATTTGGCAGTAGAATATATGAGTCTGGATTTTGTGGATAGTGTCTAACCTGGATGTGGAAATGTAGAGTTGGCAGTACTTATAATATACTAATACATACATTGCTTTAAAAGGGTAAAACTAGAATGGGTCCAAAGTCTGACCTTGAGCATTTCAATGATTAGAAGAGGAGGGAATAGAGGATAAAAGAGTGAAGGAGTAGGAAGATAATCAAAGACCAAGTGAAGTGCTTTAAGAAGGAAGGAGCTATGAAATGACAATTGTTATTGATAAACCAAGTAAGATAAGGATTGATCATTGACTGTTGACTTTGGTATTTTGAGAAATGATATGAAAAATACTCTGATAAGAATAAGAGATAATGTAAGAAGAAGAAACGAACACTGAAATTATAAATAGCTTTTTGGAGGGGCTTTGTTGTAAAGAGGAACAGGGATACAGTACAATAGCTGGTATACAGGAAGAATTCCTTTTAGGTGCATAGTTATGATTTTAGTATGTTTTCATGCTGATGGGACTGAGACAGTAAAGAAAGGGAAATTGAGAGGGAGCAAGAGAAAAATCGCAATAATAGTGTTTCTGAGATACTCAGACTTGACATGTAAGTGAACAGGTGCACAGCCCTACGTTAATCAGAAATTAATACAAAAAAGATAAGTTGAGTTATGCTAAACTGAAAAATGTCCCCAAACTTTCAGTGGAGTAAAATAACAAATGTTCATTTTTCACTTAAAATTTATTTGCATTGTGGATCTGACCTGGCTTTGTTCTGTGTTGTCTTTGTTCCATAATCCAGGCTGACAAAGTAGTCTTTAGCTGGAACATTTCCTACAGACAGCAAAAACCAGACATGTGAACCATGAGATGGCTTCTGTACTTCTGATCAGAGTATACACATTTTATTTCTTCCAACATTTCATTAATGAAACCACGTCATGCGGTCACTCCTGGGCTCAATGAGATGGGGATGTATAATCTTCCCATAAATTGGGAAGTCAATGCAAGTTTCTGCTGGTAGCATTGCTCCTTCTATGGCAAATCTCACTGGTTGTTTTTTGTTTGTTTGTTTTTGTGGTGGGGGGTAGCAAGGGGGGGAGTTATCAGTACTTTCTTATCTTCTTCTGTTTCTTAGACATCAAACTCACCTGATAATCTTTAGTAATTTATTCCTTTTCCGTAGAATCCTCTTGGTTTTACTCTCTATTTACCCTCCACTCCAAATCATCTTATTATTCTCTTACTTTTCATTAGAGCATTAAACACATACCCCAAATTACTAGTGACTGTGAGCAATTCTTTTTTTAAAGGAGGGCTTTATCTTCAAACACCCGCAGAAGGTAAGAGAAAATGTTTGCAATAAAGCAAAGAAAGGAACTCAGAACAGTTAGAGTTCCATACAAAATAGCTTATGCTAATCCACTTCTGCTTCTTGGAATATGGAGTAAATGTACTTTTCCCTATTCAACCCAAAATCCTGAACATTATATCTAAAACAAACATAAAAAGACTGAAATGAAAATAAATAGGCAGACCAACTAAAGACCTTGGTACTCAAGGCATGAGATGGTGGTGAATTCCCTAGGTTTTCTTTGTTTCTTTCTCTTTTTTTTTTTTTTTTTTGTTCTTTTACCTCACATATCTCAGACATGGAGCTGAAGAAGCTGGCAACCTAGAAACACCAATTGATACAGTCAAAAAAAGCTTGAATGAAAGCAATCTCTCTTTTGTCAAAGGACCAGGAAGAGTGTGAGCTAGCAAGGCAAAAACATTTAGATAACTGCTCTATTCTAGCCAAACACCACAGAAAAACTGTATTTCCACTTCCATCCACACCAAACAAAAAAGCCTAGTGGTGAGCCTAGTCTCATGAGGCTCCCTCACACCAGCACTGGGATAATGTCAGAGAAGGTCAAATAGGGACCTGGGACTTTCCTTTCAAGAACACCATAACGAGCTTCCTCTGCTGTGATGTGGCTGATAATCACCTGGGGAACCTGAACTTCTATCTCCACCCATCAGTAAAGAGGTGACACCTCGACCCACCGAGGTGCTGTCAGAGGTGGCCTAGTTGAGACTCAGAACATTCGCTAGCAACTGAACATTAACAAAGACTGCCCTTGCACTGTGGTCTCAGTGAGGCCACATGGGAAGCAATAACCAGGCACTTTTACCCCTCCCAGCCAAGGAGGCATCAGTGGAGGCCCAGTAGAAAGACAGAATTTCCAAATACCCAGCCATAAAAAGGAGCCACCCCCTGAGGTGTCTATAAAGAGCAAGTGAAGAACTGGGACTTCTACCACTGCCTGGCAATAATGAAGCAATATATCTCCCTTCCTCTGCTGAAGCAGTGCCAGAGAAAGCCAGCAAAAACAAAAGGTTAAATAAAATTCAGAATAATACCCAATATATCCAGACTTCAGTAGAAAATAACTTGTTATAGCAAAAGCCAGGAAGATTGCATACTGAAAAATAATCAATATATGTCAACATCAGGATGACATGGATGTTAGAACCTTCCAAAAAATATTTTAAAGCAGCCATAATAAAATGTTTCAATAAGAAATTATGAACATACTTGAAACAAAAAAAGAAAGTATCAAAAAAATAGAAAGTCTGTATTAGTCCTTTTTCATACTGCTGTAAAGAACTGCCTGAGATTGAGTAATTTATTAAAAAAAGAGAATTAATTGACTCACAGTTATGGCTGGGCAGGCCTCAGGAATCTTACAAACATGGCAAAGGCGAAGGGGAAGCAAGGCACCTTCTTCACAAGGTGACAGAAAAGAGAATGAATGAAGGAGAAACTACCAAACACTGTAAAACCATCAGATGTCGTGACAACTCACTCACTATCATCATAACAGCATGGGGGAAACCACCCCATGATCCAGTTACCTCCACCCGATGTCTCCCTTGACAAGCAGTGATTATGGAGATTATAATTCTGGATGAGATTTGGGTGAGGACACAAAGCTTAACCATATCAAAGTCTCAGCAAAAAACAAAATAGGTTTGTAAGAAACCAATAGAGATTTCAGAGCTGAAGAAATACAATAACCAAAACAAATGACTCAGTTCATGGGTTCAGAGCAGAATGGAGGGGAAGGAGGAAGGAATCAGTGAACAGAAAGATAGAACAATGAAAATTACCCAATCTGAACAACAAGGAAATAATGCAATTACAAAATTAAGAAAGTCTCTGGACCCCAATGGACTTTAATTAAATATCTAACATTTATGTCATTGGCATTCCAGAAGGAGAGAATAAACACAGCAGGGATCAAAAAGTACTTGATGACTGCAACTTCCCAAATATGACAAAAAAACATAATTTTACAAATCCAAGAATCTTAGCAAATTCTGAACAGGATAAACCCAAAGAAATTCACACGAAGACACACCATAAAACTTCTACTACTATTAATACATACAAAGAAAAATCTTGAAAGCAAGGGGAGAGAGAGAGAGAAAAAGTCATACCTTACCTATAGATGAACAAAAATTCAGATACAGTGAATTTCTAATTAGGAACCGTGGAGGCCAGACACAAGTAGCACAACATTTTTAAATGCTGAAAGGAAAGAATTCTCAACCCCAAATCCTAAACTTGGTGAAAATATCCTTTAGGAATGAAAAGGAAATCAAGATATTCTCAAATGAGGAAAAACAGAGAGAATTTCATTTCTGCAGACTTACCCTAAAAAAATGACGAAAAGAAGTTCCCTAAACAAAATACAAATGGCAATAGATGCTATGTTGAAATATAAGGAAAAAAGAAAGAATCAGTAGCAAAAATACAAAAAAAAAATACGTCTCTTGAATTTTCTAAACCTTTTATGGTTGAAGCAAAAATTATCTAATTTGATTATAAGTGTACATAGTGAAAATATTTAAGAAAATTATATTACTAATGGAGGAGTTTAAAGAGACTGAAAGGGAGGTATGGTATATATACTATATATGAATTTATAAAATCAGGATAGTAGCAGATTAGATAAATCAAAATTGAATTCCAAAAAATGTTCAAGTATTCTACAGAAAGGCAAGAAAGAGAAGAGACAAACATAGAAAAAAAATATCAAAAAGTGAAATGGCATATTTAAGTTCTAATATGTTAACAATGACATTAATGTAAGTGGTCTAAATACATTAGTTAAAATACAGAGATTGGCAGGGTAGATAAAAAAAATCACCTCCATGTCCACTAATAAAAAAATAATCCAAGGACTTTCTGTATATAAGAAACTCACCTCAAATATAAAGATATAGTCAGGTTGAAATTAAAGGGGAAAAGATGAATCAAAAGAAAGCATATTAACATCAGATGTTAATATCAGATAAAGTAGGCTTCAGAACAAAGTACCTTTCCAGAGATAGACATTATATAATGATATATGTTTCAATCTTCCACAAAGATATAGGAATCGTAAATATGACACTATACAATACCAAACAGTAGAGTAACAAAATATGTGAAATAAAAACCGAAGGGAAGAGAGAGAGTGAGAACTGAACTAAAATGAGTACATAAATCCACAATTATAGTTGGGCTTTAACACCCTTTACTCAGCAATTTATATAAATAATAGAAAATCAGCCTATAGAAATACCATAAAAACTATTTACAAACATAATGTAATAAATAGTTATAAAATATTTCACCCAAAATAATCAGAATATACATTTTTTTAGTGTACATGGAACATGTGCCAATGTAGAACATGTCTAGGGTCTTAAAAATAATCTGAACAAATTTTAAAAAATTGAGATAATACATATTGCATTCTGTGACCAAGGAATCAAACTGGAAATGAATAATAGAAAAATATCGGGAACATCTACAAACACTTGACAACTATACCAAACAGGTCCAAAAAATTTCTATTGGTAGAAGAGAAAGTCTCAAGAAAAAATAAACAATATTGAACTATGAAAAGGAAAATGCTATGTATCGGAATGGTGAAATGTGGCTAAAATAGTGCTGAGAGGAAAATCTATAGCACAAAATACATACATTTGAGATGAAGAAATATGATAAATCAGTAACCCAAGCTTCCATATCAGTAACCTAGAAAAAGAAGAGCCAAGTAAACCCAAAGCAGAAGGAAGAAAATAATAAGGATAAGAGAAGAAATAAATGAAACTGTAAATAGAAAAACAGAATGATAGAATATATGTTTGAAACAGAGAGTTAACTCTTAGAAACCATGATGGGCAAACCTCTAGCAAGAGTGACAAAGAAGAGAGAGAGAAAGAAAGAATATATTTTACTAAAATCAGGAATGAAACAGAAAATATCACTACAGACCTTGAGACATCAAAAATGACATGTGTATATTAGAAACATTTCTACAAAAATAAATTTGACAACTTAGAATAAATGGACGAACTTCTCAAAATATACAAACTGATACATATCAGCCAGCATAAAATGGTAGTTTGAGGAGCCCTGTAACTATTAAGGAAATTAAATTTGTAAATAAAAATCTTCCAAAAAATTAAATTAATTCCAACAGCCACATGATATCTCTAGAGAATTCTACAAAACATTTAAAAGAGAATTAACACTAAATTCTATATAAATTCTTCCAGAAAATATAAGAGGGAATATTTTTCAATTCATATTATAAAGCTAGTGTTACCTTGATACCAATGACAGGCAAAGACAATATAAGAAAATGTTGTGTGTGTGTGTGTCTGTGTGCATGTGACATATAGGCAAATATAATTGAGCAATACATAAAAAGAATAATATACCATTACCAACCTGGGTTTATTTCTTAAATGCAAGGTTAGTTTAATATTGAAAAATCTATCCATTGGTATACTATATTAACAAGCTATAGAAGAAAAATTACCTGATAGAAGTATTTGACAAAATTTTTCATTTCTTAAAAGTTTACAGAAATCCAAAGCTAGAATTTCACTTAATATTAAAAGACTAAATGTTTTTCCCATAAGATTAAGAAGAAAAAAAGGATAGCTGTTTTCATCACTCTTATTCAACATATAATTCTGGAACTTCTAACCAGTGCAATAGGCAAATAAAAGAAATGAAATACATACAGATGAAAACAAATATATAAAATTGTCCCCATTTCAGATGGCATGGTTTTCCACACAAAATATCCAAAGTATCTTAAAAAAACTCCTAAAACTGACAATTGAATTTGTCATGGTATTAAGATACAACATAAACTTCCAAAAATTTGTCTTATTTGTACATATTAGCAATGAACGTGGGGGCATCAAAGGTAAAAATACAATGCTACATACAATCATTAAAAAAGTAAAATAGTTAGAGGTATATCTAACAGAACATGTACACTGAAAGCTACAAAATGCTGATGAAAAAATTCAAGGAAGAATTAAGTGGATAAATCTATAGCATATTCACCAATGAGAAGACTCAACATCAAGATGCCAATTTTTCCTAAGCTAACATACAGATTTAACACAAATCCTATGAAAATCCCAGGAAAAAAATACAGACAATATCATTCTAAAATAAAAAGACAAAGGAACTGGAATGGCTTAAAAATATATAAAGAATAAAGTGGGAGAAACCAGTTTACCTGATTTCAAAACTTATTTATATGTCTATAGTAATCTGACTCTGTGGTACTGTCACAGACAGAGACCAGTGGAACACAACAGAAACCCAGAAACAGACCCACACAAATATGTCCAACTGATTGCTGACAAAGGAGCAAATTGATTTCATTGAGGAAAGATTTTTTTTTAAACAAATTGTGCAGGAACAAAATTTTTTAACAAATGGTGCAGGATATCATAAACACAAAAGAAGAACCTCAACTTAAGTCTTACGCACTATACAAACATTAAGTTAAAATTGATCATGAGTTTCACTGTAAAACATAAAACTACATAACGTTTAAAAAATCGTAAGAGAAAATATTCAGGATCTAGAGAAAAGCAAAGTATTCTTAGATCTGACATTGAAAGCATAATACATACAATGAAAAACTGACAAAGTAGACTTCAAAATTAAAAACTTTGCTCTGTGAAAAGTTCTACTAAGAAGATGAAAAGACAAGTTACAGCCTGGGAAAAAAACATTTGCTAACCATACCCCCGACAAAGAACTAGAACTACAGTGTATAAAGATCTCTCAAAGGTCAGCAGTAAAAACAAAACAAAACAAAACAAAACATTCCAATTAGAAAAATGAGCAAAAGGCAAAAGAGAATGTACAGATGGCAAATAGGCACACAAAAAATATCATCAATGTCATTTGCTGTTAGGGAAACACAAATTAAACCCTAACATGTGAATAGCTAATGGTATACCTAAACATAACAACACTAAATGCTGGTGAGGATGTCAAGAAACTGGATCATTCATACATCACTTGTGGAAATATTAAAGGGTACATCCATTTTGCAAAATGGTTTGTCGATTTCTTAAATAACTACACATGCAACTACCATATGACTTATTAATTGCATTTCTAGGCATTCGTCCCAGAGAAATGAAAACTGATGTTTACACAATAGCTTGTAAACGAATGTTTATATAAGGTTTATTTGTAATCATCAAAAATTGGAAACCCAGGTGTCCTTCAGTGAATGAATGGTTAAATAAACCATGATACATCCATACCATGTTATACTATCTACCAATAAAAAGGAACAAACTATTAATACATGCAACAGCCTGATGATAGGTCTCTGTATCATGTGGTTATGTTTATAAAGAGGCAACACGAGGGATCCTCTTGGTGATGGGAATGTTCTGCAACTTGATGGCATCAATGTTGGGATATCCTAGTTGGGATATTGTACTACAGTATTATAGAATGTTACCATTGAGAAAAACTGGCTAAAGGCTGCACAAGAGCTACCTACATTATTTATTAAAGCTAAATATTAATCTAAAATTATCTTAAAATAAATGGCTTAATTAAGAAAGAAAAAGTTATCTTATTTTTTCTTATTTTTTTATAGACTGGTATTTAAGTATAGTTACATAAATCAAAAGATGCACAGCCATCTTCCTCTATGACAAGTAGGAACTGACTCAGTACATATCCAACAATAACATTTATTTATTTTTATTTTTGAGATGGAGTCTCACTCTGTTGTCCAGGCAGGATTGCAGTGGCATGATCTGGCTCACTGCAACCTCCACCTCCAGGTTCAAGCAATTCTCCTGCTTCAGCCTCCAGAGTAGCTGGGACTACAGGCATCATCAACACGCCCGGCCAATTTTTTTATTTTTAGTAGAGATGAGGTTTCGCCATGTTGCCAGGCTGGTCTCGAACTCCTGAGGTCAAGTGATCCTCCCGCCTTGGCCCCGCAAAGTGCTAGGATTACAGGTGGGAGCCACTGGACCCGGCCAATAACATTTAAAGCTCAGACACTTATTCATAAATCATTCACACAACTTAAAAAAATACTCCACAGCTGTGAGCCTATGTGCAAAAGCTCCAATCGTTGAGTTGAGAGCTCAGCATAGTGCTTAGGAGAGATTTTAGCTTTCATAAAGACAGCTAAAAGTGAAGCCACAAATTTGACACTCAAATGTTAAACAAACAGAGCTTTGTAACTCTGAAGACACACCCTCTACCAAATATACTTGGCTACTGCCAACCTAAAATAAGTAAGAATTCTAGGCCCGGCGCGGTGGCTCACGCCTGTAATCCCAGCACTTTGGAAGGCCGAGGCGGGCAGATCAGGAAGTCAGGAGATCCATACCATCCCAGTTAACACGGTGAAACCCCATCTCTACTAAAAATACAAAAAATTATCCAGGCGTGGTGGCGGGCCCCTGTAGTCCCAGCTACTCGGGAGGCTGAGGCAAGAGAATGGCGTGAACTCGGGAGGCGGAGCTTGCAGTGAGCCGAGATCGCGCCACTGCACTCCAGCCTGGGCGACAGAGCGAGACTCCGTCTCAAAAAAAACAAAAAAAAAAAAACCAACAACAACAAAAAGAATTCTATAGAAACATAGACAGTTTAATATATATGATTCTGCCTTGAGTAGATTGGATCTGGATTATCAAAAGGTTGCTTTTAGATTTTTATTATATAAAAACCATATTTATCTTTTGTGCTTTCTGGGAAGTTGAGGCCAGAAAGACAATTTATGCTAAAGGCTTTGCTACTGACTTTTTTTTTTTTTTTTTTTTTTTTAGACAAGGTCTCACTCTGTTGTCTAGGCTGCTGTGGCGTGATCATGGCATCATGACCCACTGCAACCTCTACCTCCTGCACTCAAGCGATCTTCCCACCTCAGCCTCCCGAGTATCTGGGACTACATGTGCATCCCACCAAGCCCGGCTAATTTTTGTATTTTCAGTAGAGACGGTGTTTCACTATGTTGCCCAGGCTGGTCTCGACCTCCTGGGCTCAAGCAATCCGCCTGCCTGGGCCTTCCACAGTGCTGTGATTACAGGTGTGAGCCACCGCACCTGGTCCTATTGACTCCTAAAGTCAAGTGGCTAGGTTTTCCTTGTGTTCATAATTTTGCTGACTTATTATTCAGACTGGCAAAATGATTTCTGTGTAATGATTTTCTGTGAACATGCTTTTATAGTTATTTTCGGGCTCTTTTGAGTCAGTGTTCACCAATGCAATCTATAATATTACATGGTTAGATTCTCAAAGGAGTTCTCTTTTTTGTTCTCAAATTTGAATATCCAGTGGCAGAACTAACGGTTCTGGATCATATAGGACCACAATAATGACTTGTTGCCTCCTGTTGAGTTTATGTCAGCAGAAACTAAATGTTTTTAAACATTTAAACTTCTCAAACTGGGTTGCATGTTTTCTAATACCTTGGTTTCTGGCCCAATATCTTTCTTCTTCCAAGGTTGAGATCTGTGATTTGCTGCAACTAAATCTCATATATTTAGGTCATATTGTACAAATGAAGCATTGCAAATGAATGCAGCGATAATGCATACAGACTGGACAGGAAAAAAACCTGGCATTTAACCAAACAAAGCTGTAACTTTTAATGACTTGTCTTTTTAACATGCTTCTTTGTAAATTACCGTCACAGAATCATATTAACATAAAGCAGTCTTTGTTTCTGATTTACTTTTTGTATTAAGGCCATGCATCTTTTGTCTTCATTGCCTTGGCTTAAATGTGTGACTTCTAACATCATTTATGCATTATTGGAATCAATAAAATATTGAAACAATGGGGATTATGTTCTGAGTGTTTCTGTGATCATAATTTTTATCTTCAAAGTAAAAAATGCAGGTCACAGGATAATGAGATACCAAAAAACAAGAAACTTCTTTATTTCTATGGAGACTTATGCAGCGATTTTATTTGAAATTGGCTGTTTCAAAGACATAATTTTGCAGTGTTTTGAACACAAAAGTGCTTTAAGTTAGATTCTTTCCTTTAATCACACTCTGTCTGATCAGGGTATGTCAGCTAAACACTAAACTCCCTGTGGGAGCTTGTCACCATGGCAACCAGATTGCGGTTTCCAATATCTATGTAATGAAGTTCTGACATGTTTTCAGCACAAAGTGCTAAGTGGAGGTTCGTTTCACTAATTAGGTGGCAAAAATAATCAATTCCTTCGTGATCAGTGATGTCACAAATTATACAGTAGACAAACCTGAAAAATTTTCTTAACTAGTACTTTATATCTTAGACAGAGAAGTAAAATAATAAAGTCATTTCTAAATTTCTCTGGTTAACTAGTAGGATAATTATTGTATCCTGAGGATGAATTTAACACTATTCTAGTTCTTTGAGGTTTATAATTGAATTTATACTATTCTAGTTCTTTAGGGGTTTATAATTGAGGCAAACTTATGAGATACATAAACCCGAAAATAGGTTTCTATGAAATTTTTCTAGATAGAATGTGGACCAAGGTCTCTTAATTCAGAGTAAGCAGGAAGAACTACATAACAGTTCCTAAATATGGACACCCTTAGTTCAGGGACTTACAAGTGACCAGGATTGTTGAGATAGTGGGTTTTCCTTAAATGAAGGGCCAACCATTCCCTAGAACAATTGGAAGAGTTGCCCTTTCCACTCGCCTCTCCATGGTCCTCAATAATGAAAACTTCTTTATTCTACAGTTAATCAGAACCCTCCACTCTTTTCCCCTTTGTCGACTCCTGGCCCTTTCTCAAACCCTGTTTTTATAAATGCACAGGGTCCATGATTGAGAAAAAAAATCAAAAGGAAGCCTAGTGATAATTACTTTGTCTAAGACTCAAGGGGAGACATGGTCACTTTTTGATCAAGGATGTACACTTAGACCAGAACCAACTTTGAGTCTTTGTTTCTACTTTGGCCTAGGCTAGGGGAGGAGAAATGCTGTTCTCAGGATATACCCTGAGATGTAACCCTGACATATATTTATGAAGCACCTAATATGGCACCTAGCACATAATATGTAAAGAATAATGGGTATCTATTGTTAAAAGTAATAGTGATCATGGTGAAGTTAATACAGTGTGGGCTATATATGCTGCCATAATATGGGATAGGCTGTGCATTGTGAAATAATTTAGGACAGACCATGCATGGTCAAATAATGTGGGGAAGACTATACGTTGTTCAGGAATTCAAGGAAGGAAAATATTATGTCATAACGAATTGACTGTATACATTGATATAAGAAAGAATGGCATTTTAGTGAGCAGAAGAGAGTTTAGAAGGATATTCTTAAGGTTATCATGACCTAGGAAATTAGGAACAGGGAATGAACAATGTTTGTATGAAGGACAATGTCAAGTAAAATGGCAATATGGTTGATCTGCGAGGTCACATATGAGGTGGTTTAGGTCATTTTCTTTACTCTCACAGAGGACAGTGAGATGCAAAGATAATCTTCTTATAATATTTTCCATCTTAGGGCTGACTAAGCTGTTCTTGCTATCTAAGTGCATGACAGCCCCTTCTATTACTTCCTGGTGGTCTTACTTGGAGATGTGGGCTTGGATAAGGAGGATGAATTTACCAAATACAGGAGAGTAATTTTTTTTTTTTTTGGTCAAAGTATATTCTCCAGGACAGCCCACGTGGCCCACCAGTGACCCGGAATCTAGATTCTCTTCACATGCTCTCTTCAATAAGCGAGGGTCTGCGAGTTATTTTCAATGTTTCAAATGCCTAATGGAGACCACATATTACCTACTCTCAGTTGATATCTGCATACCAAATTAAACTGAAATCCAACAATTCTTCACTCTAGCTCTTGCTGATCTGTGGTAATTATGCAGTCACATGTGTCTTCATGGTTCAAAAATTCTTAACACATATGGTTTGAGAGATATTTTACAAAAGCACAAGGTCCGTGATTAATATGGTTTGGATGTGTGTTCCTGCCCGAATCTCATATTAAAATGCAGTCTCCAACATTGGAGATTGGACCTGTGGGGAGGGGATTGGATCATGGGGGGAGGTGATTGGATCATGAGGGAAGGTTTCTCATGAATGGTTTAGCACAGTCCCTCTTGGTGCTGTCCTCGTGATAGTGAGTGAGTTATCTCGAGATCTAGTCATTAAGTGTGTAGCACCTCCCTCCTCGCTCATATGCTCCTGCTCTGGCCATGGGATGTGCCTGCTCTCCCTTTGCCTTCCACCATGATTGCAAATTTCCTGAGGCCTCTCCAGAAGCTGAGCAGATCCCAGCATCATGCTTCCTGTACGGCCTGCAGAACCATGAGCTAGTTAAACCCCTTTTCTTTATTAATTACCCATTCTTAGGTATTTCTTTATAGCAATGTGAGAATGGACTAATACAATGATCTAGAAAAGGAAATAAAAGAGAATTACAGTGGTAAAATTTGGAGAATTACCAATTTGTTCATTCCCTCATTCATTCCACAAAAAATTAGTTGAACCACTACTGTGTGCCAGGCACTTTTCCCAGCATTGGGGGCACAAATATGAATACAGTAAAGGGTTATTCTAACAATAAGCTTGGAGTCATCCTTTTTAGAAAAGAATGACTCTCTTTAGAGTACCTTAGAATCATTCAGCGTTATCCATATTTGCCAAAGCTGAGACTGCCTTGGGTTTATCTCTGAAGAGAAAAGAAAAAAATTCATTGAAAACAATGTGTCAATAGTTGTTCTTTTCAGGCAGTATTAAGAAGTATTAAGATTGAATATTAAGAAAATACGTAAGTGCTAAATCTCCATTAAGTAAGCCACTCATTGTCTGGGTGGAGAGTTAGCCCTTGTTTATTTTCAATAAAATTACCTCCAAAGAAACTCAACCGGATAGAAACAACTCATTTTATTTGATAAAATAATGAAAGAATTGTCACAAATTTTTATGGGTGTGTGTTGTCCCTGCCTCTATTTCTGCGCCTCACAGCTGCATTAATATGGTTACTCTAATAAAAGAAACAGATGTTGGCTGGGAAAGCAAGACTACAAAAGCCACACAGACAATTGCATAATTAGCCTTCAACTATATATTATACCCTGTTGAAAGCAGTGGCATGAACCTATAGGAATCTATTAATACGATAGAGATCAGCAAATCCCACAGGTTTGTGAAACCCACCGTTTTCTCCTGTGCTTTGTCTTCTCTCCTTTGATCAAAATTAGTGTGACAAGTACTTAGACATGAACTTTTTAAAATAACTTTTATCATTTCAATTAATCTGCCTAAATTAAGGAGCAAGTTTTCCAATTTTCAGAAATTTAATTGCCTATAGTTACTGCTCTAAAGTGGCAAAACACAAGGGGACATTAAACTGCTGCTGCTTTACATAACATAAAAAGGCATTTTGATAGATTCCTAGTGTTCCCCAGGTCACCATGCCATTGCATTTCCCAAAGAGCTGAGCATGAGTTAGAATGCTTTCAACAACCACTATTACAAAACCCTATCAACAGTGGCTTCAATATTAAAGGCAGTCATTCACCTTAGATGACAAGAGGTCTGGGGGTATGTGGGTCCGAGGTTGACTCAGTAGCAGTTGTTGGTGCAGCATCTCTGGTTCTCTTGTTCCTTCCTTCATGGCTAGAGGATGGTGGCAGTATTGTTCTGCCTCAGGTCTTTATAGGTAAGAATCTTACACAGGAAGCAAAACAGGTGAGTATAAAAAGGTTTTCTTGGTGTGCCTCTTTTCAAGGAGGAAAATCTTTCTCTGGCACATACAATGAATTTAGAGTACTTTGTATTGGCAAGAACTGAATCACCTGTTAATTCCAAGACCGATTGCAGGTAAGGGAAATATCATTTTAATGATTTGCTTAGACCATTCATAAGTCATTCCTCATAGCTAGGCACATGGCTGCTCAAACAAAATTAGATAGTTAGCAAGGAAGAAAGGCTGGCTATTGTGTAGGCACTTTAGAATACCTGCTAGAGGGCTCTGACGTAAACACAGGTCTTTCCTTAATTGTTATAGCTTTACTTCTTTACTAATGTGCCACACCATTAGCAACTTATAATTGTACAGTTTCAAATTTCTACAAGGGGTTAACATTCAGGTTATCTTATTTGTTCTTCCAAGCCACCCAGTGGAGAAAGTAGAAGTGGGTATAATTTCCAGTATTTCACTGATATGCAGAAGTTCCTAGGTGAAGGAACTTGCCCAGGGTTGCACAGCTTAAAAAATGTAATCTGGATTTTAATGTCTTCTCACTGCAATCTGATGCTCCTTTTAAAAAATATTCCACTGTAGTCTTTTGTAGCAATGAAAGTCACTTTGTCTTCCCCCTTGGCCATGCTTATGAATAGCAGAGGAAGTCCTTGACTTTCTCTTCACCTCATGCTACAGGACTGTTATGAAATTAGAAAGAAAGAAGTTTGTAATCCCATAAGACCATGTGTCCTTCATTAATTAATTCAGGAATAATTTATTAAGTATCACATCTACCAAGCACCGTAGTAAGTTATGAGGATAATAGAAGACAAGACATTCATGGTTACTGAAACTTAGAATCTGAGAAAAGTGACCGAACATGGGATAATCAATCACATTAAAGTCTGAGACATGATTTGAAGGGGAAGTATAGGGTTTGTTGAAAGTACTTAGTCAAAGCATCAAATCCGATCAATGGGAAAGGTGGTTAAAAAAATTTCCAGAAGAATTGCTATTTAATCAGAAACTCTGAAGGTCACAAAGAGGGAAAAGACAGTGATCAATATGCAGTAATTGCTCAATAAATGTTTTTGAGTGTCTTTACAAAAACACCCTTATTGAGATATAATTCACACAGCATGCAATTCACCCATTTAAAGTGTATATTTAATGGGTTCTAGTATATTCTGAGGGTTGTGTGTCCATGAACAAAATTGATTTTAGAACATTTTTATTACTCCAGAAAGAAACCACATATCCCCTACCCATTACCTGACCAAAATCTTCCTATCTCCACCCCACTAATCTATTCACTGTCTCTATAAATTTGTATATTCTAGACATTCCATAGAAAGAAATTATAACATATGTAGTTTCTATGTAACTTTATCCTTTTAACTAACATGTTTTCAAAGTTATTTTATGTTGAAGCATGCATCAGTACTTCATTCCTTTTTATTGCCAAATACTATCCCATTTTATGGATATAAGACATTTTATTTATTCACTCATCATTTGATGGGCATTTGGGTTGTTCCCATTTGTTTAGTTATCATAAATCATGCTACTATGAACATTCATACATAAGGTTTTTTTTTGTGGACATATGCTTTCACCTATACCTGTGAGTGAAATTACTGCATCAATGCTTAACATTTTGAGAAACTGCCAGGCTATTTTTCAAAGGAACTGCACCATTTTACGTTCTCACCAACAATGTACGATGGTTTCATATCCTTACCAACACTTGCTATTTGTCCTTTGTTTTGATTATAACCATCCTAGTGTGTGTAAAGTGATATCTCATTATGGGTTTCATTTTAATTTTCTTGGTGGCTAATTAAGTCGAGAATCTTTTCATGTGCTTATTGGTTAGTTGCATATCTTTTTTGTCCTTCATGGTGCACAACACTACAGAAAAACACATAGCTTGTAGCTCATTGATGTGAAAAGTCAGTACAGATCCTTGTTTTTACTTTTAGAAACTCAAAGGATTGGGAATTAAGCTGCTACTTTTTTTTTCTAGATATGTGACGTGTATGTTTTCTTGTAAGTAATATTCTACCAAACATTGTACTAAACCAAAGCAGACAGATGACCAGTAAAGCTATTTACTACGTTCTTCCCATATTGAGCTCAATCAGTGGAACGCCATCTTGGTAGGAGAGATTTTTATAGAAAGAAGAAATTATAGAGTCTGTACCTACCCCAACAGTGAACCTAACAAACTGGTTTATACAGAAAGGATTTTCTGCAAATATGCACAGACACATTTAACACGCTATAGGAACAGGATACCTTTTAGTCTGTCTCCAACACACAGCATGCATTCATTGGTGCCCAGTAAAATAGGAGCAAAGGACAATGTAGGAAGCATTTTTGCCTTCATAGCACTAAAGACTACAAAGCACATAGCATATAATACTTTGATCTTTGAATAATCATGAAAATTCCAAGATGATAGCCACTAGGTAAGCTTGAGTATTCATCTCTCTCTCTCTCTCTATCTATAGATATATATATATAGAGAGAGAGAGATAGAGAGAGAGATATATATATATATAAAGAAATATATAAATATATATATATTTCTTTTTTTCTGTAAAGAATGCTTAAGATAGACTTCTAGAAATAGTGATACTACATCAGGACCAGAAGAAGACATAGTGACACAATGACTGCAAATGTTAAGACTAGTAGTTGACTTTCACATGTAGTTTTTAGGTAAAGGTCATCTCTTTCATCAGTTGATTCCTAAAGCCAAGACAAGCTGTCATCATAGAAGATTCCGAAATATCAAGACAGGCAGCTGGCTTGACTAACACACTAGATAAATATAAAAAACCCATTGAGACTGAAGGACTGAAATTCTGAACCATGTACAAAAGAGCTGTGAGTGCGCAAAAAGATTCATGCAAAGCTCCTGGGACAAAGAGGGCTCCTGATAGTGGGTTATTCCATGCTGTTAACACACCAACATGTATGCTGGGCCAGGGGTCTTCCGGGTGAGATGCTTGACATGGGCTTTCTTCAGAGGGGTCTGACTCAGAAGCATGTGAGAGCAGTGTTTACTTGGGGAGGAGAGGAGTATTAGGGTTCCTAAACACTTCAGGAGGCGTACTAAGGTTAATGAATACAAGAAGGTGTTTCAGGAGAAATATGTCCAGGAGGGTTAGGTCATTTTGGTTTTGGCCCATCAATACATAACGTGAGGGAATAGTTGCAGAACACAGTAAGTCTTTCCGAAATTTATTCTTAAGTCATTATTAGCTGAGCCTATTGGCCTTTTGGCCTGGTGACATCCAGAATGATCTCATTCGTTGGCTGGAGGTAGGACCTAGTGCTTCAGATCGTTCTGGGAAGCTAACATAGAAGATGATTTACACAATGAAGTCACCAGTAAACCACTGCTTAAGTCCAACCCCAGCCTTGTTTTTCTTCTTTGTGGTCCAGAAATCATTCTTTAAATGCTATCAAACCTGTAAATGTGAACAGTATGTCAAATATGTCACCAACCGCTTCATCTTTATGGTGCTGTAATGTCATAAGGCTGCCATGTTAAATCCAAGCATCTGCCCCAGCAGCTGGTCTTTAATATACTTTTCCACCAAATAAATATATTCATTAAAAGTAGTCATGTAGGTGAGTTTATTCTTTAACTTGTCTTCAAATTCCTGACAGTATATGTCCAAGAAATTTCTCTGTAATAACTACAACTCGTTATCCACCATAATGTAGTATAAATATCCAGCTACAGAATAAAATTGTTCAGCAGAGGTGGAGGAGAAAGACAGTAAGAAGTTATCTTCCTCTAAAGTGTTCATCCTCCCTCTGGAGCAGGCCTTTCAGTCTCCTATCCCACCTGCGACCCAACAGATGGCTCTGTGTGTTGCTGTGGCTGCCTCTGTACAACCCTGCTTTGGATGACTGTCTATCAAATTCTTTGCCATTTTTAAATTGGGCTATTTATCTTTTTATTATATACTTGTAAGAATTTTTTTTCTATTTTTGGTGTAAGTCCCTCATCAGATATATTATTTATACAAAATTTCTACTACATTGAATTCTTTTTACCTTCTTACTGGTGTCATTTCAAGCAAAAGGAAAAAAGGTTTCAGCCAGGTGCGGTGGCTCACGCCTGTAATCCCAGCACTTTGGGAGGCCGAGGCCAGTGGATCAGCTGAGGTCAGCAGTTCAAGACCAACCTGACCAACATGGTGAAACCCCATCACTAATAAAAACACTAAATGAGCCAGGCTTGGTGGTGGGTTCCTGTAGTCCCAGCTACTCGAGAGGGTGAGGCAGGAGAATCGCTTGAACCCGAGAGGCAGAGGTTGCAGTGAGCTGAGATTGCGCCATTGCACTCCAGCCTAGGCAACAAGAGCAAAACTCTATCTCAAGGAAAAAAAAAAAGTTTTCAATTTTGATGATGCCTGGTCATTTGTTTTTGTTGACAATGATGCTTGTGTTTTGTGTCAGATATTAAAAAAAATGCATAATTCAGGATCATGAAGATTTTCTTTTAAGGTTTTATAGTTACTTTTATTGCTTCTAAGATTCTATAGTTTTGTTATAACTCTGAACTCTTGGGACTTTGATTACATTTTGAGCTGATTTTTGTATATGATGTCAATTGAATGGTTGAGATTCTATTTCCAGTAAGTCTGTGCTAACTGTGGGACTGTGGTCTGTATATCAACATCAGCCTCACTTGGGAATCTTTTTCAAAATGCAAATACTCAGGTCCCCATCCCAAATCTCTAAATCATAACCTTTGAGGGTATAGCAGAGAATCTGCATTTTCACAAGTTCACAGGTAGTTCTTATATACTCTAAAATTTGAAAGGTGTTGCCTTAGAAAGTTGCAAACAACTTTACCATTCATTCCTACTAACTAACCTCCTCTCCAGCTCTACCATGGTAAAGTACCACTTTAGTGGTAACTGACAGAGCATCTTTTATTTTAAAATGGTAGATAGTAACTCTCAACCTTCAGCAAAGGGTGACTCAACATCTCTGACTGTTTCAAACCAAAAGAGCTAAAGGATCATCTTGTCCAACTACTGCTTTTTAATATAGGAGAGTTCATGATGAAATCCAGAGTCTATATTTTCATATGGTTTAAACACTGGCTTAAATTTATGTTCAAGTAAAACCTTTCTGTGGACTAACAAAAGTCCGTAGACTCTAATTTTGTGGGCTCTGACTTACGACACACATTCTCTCTCTCTCTCTCTCTCTCTCACACACACACACACACACACACACACACACACACACACACGCTAGTTTTGTTTTTTGGGTTTTTTTTTTGTTTTTTTTTTTTTGAGATGGATTCTTGCTGTGTTGCCCAGGCTGGAGTGCAGTGGTCCGATCTCGGCTCTCTGCAAGCTCCGCCTCCCAGGTTCGCGCCATTCTCCTGCCTCAGCCTCCCAAGTAGCTGGGACTACAGGCACCCGCCACCGCACCCGGCTAATTTTTTTTTTTTCGTATTTTTAGTAGATACGGGGTTTCACCGTGTTAGCCAGGATGGTCTTGATCTCTTGACCTCGTGATCCACCCACCTCGGCCTCCCAAAGTGCTGGGATTGCAGGCATGAGCCACCGCACCTGGCCTGTTTTTTGGATTTTTTTTGAGACGGAGTCTTGCTCTGTCTACCAGGCTGGAGTGCAGTGGCATAATCTCGGCTCACTGCAACCTCTACCTCCTGGGTTGAAGTGATTCTCCTTCCTCAGCCTCCTGAGTAGCTGGAATTACAGGTGCACACCACGATGCCCAGCTAATTTTTGTATTTTTAGTACAGACAGGGTTTCATCATGTTGGTCAGGCTGGTCTCGAACTCCTGACCTCGTGATCCACCAGCCTCGGCTTCCCAAAGTGCTGGGATTACAGACATGAGCCACTGCACCCGGTGACACATTAGTTTTTAAAAATTGCCTTTCAAATATATTAGGACATGAACAAATAAAAAATTATATTTCTTGGTGAAATGTTTGTTCTGAGGAAAAACAGTTATTTTATAAATTGTCTTTAGCTTGAAAACTGAGAAGACATAGTAATACAATATACATAGTTCTAGGCTTACCATAGTTTACTGATGTATTCTGTAATGTGGTTAGCTATTTATTCCAGCTTTTTCTGACATATTTTGATGTGGGAAGCATCTCAGCAGTAAATAGAATATAAGAAAGACAATTTCAGAGTATGCAATTTTGATCATATGCTTTTAAAGGAGGAAGACAGTCAACCTATTAAAGAAAACTCAATTTATGCATGAATTCTAGGATACATGGGTTTATCTGAATAAGAGAATAAAAACACAGTACACCCTGAACCCATGTATCATTTGGTAACTCTTAAAATAATTATTTGAAACTAGATGGTATTGAATATTGTCCTTTTTATCTATGTCCATTACATACAAACACCCACACACATTCACACACATGCATTAAAAATAAGCCATTCAAACCACACCAGTCTCCTATATATCTAGAATATATTCTATCCTGGTCCATCAAATAATTCTACAAAAGGACTGAATCACCAAATCACTGCTTATAAGTAGGTTTGGTCTCATAGTTGGAGCTTTTGAACATACAGATTATTATAATTGCAGATTAAGCAAACGCTCTAGGTTGGCTTGTATTCATGTCATGTCCTTTGTGAAATGTCAACTCCTCTCTATTTTTTAAGAGAAAGGCAAATTATTATTGCACAAATGGAAAAATTTCTGGCCTACGTGGGAATGACTTCCCTTCCCATTGCCAAGGATAAAAAACAGCACAAGTACAGTTGTTCCTGCCAGGTACAGCTTTCATCTCAAATAAGTTTTAACGTGTAAGATTTATACTTATGACATAAACATTGTAGCTCTCCATGGAGATGAGAAGTGTTTAAGAACTTTAGCTCTGTAGCCACATAGACCTGCATTCAAATACTGCTTCTACCAGCTACTAGCTATGCAACTCTGGACACGTCACAATTCTAAGTCTCAGTCACTTCCTTTCTGAAACTGAAGGAGTGTGGATACCTACCTCCTTGTCCTTATTTGAAGACAAATACATAAATTTGTGCATTCCAAATAATCCAGTTAAATCCATGAACCCATTCTGTAATTTCAAGTTTACTTACAGAAGGGCTAAAGGTGATGACCTAAAGAGTACCAAGTTTTAAATGAAACCTTTTCAGAGAACGTACTCATCCCTTCTAACGACTGTCTCTTACTTTTGTGACTATCTCTTACTTTTATGATCCTAAGTAAATATGCATTAGTAATTAATTTTCTATGTGAGCCATCTTGTAGATTTCTCTAAGCTTCATTCATTTGTATAAACCCAATCTCAAATATCCATAGAATTTGTAACTCCAAGTGCACAGTTGACTTCATAGCTCTCAACTGATGTATATTTTCCAATGCCTAACTTTCAGAGACTGTTAACTTGATAGATAAGTACTATTTTTGTCTTTTCTTTCCCTCATGGATCTTGCTGAGGGAAACACCTAGAAAGCCCATGAGAATGGAAGGGAGAGAAGCTCTTTACTGTGGTTTGGCCAATGACTGCTGTTTTTAACATGCCAGTTCCTATGGGCAAAACACAAAAAGAAAATTGCACTTAAAAAATAGTGTTCCATGCGATCTGCAGAAAAGTCCGGAAGTTCACTTGGGTTTCTCAGGAAATTAAAAAGCAGGAAAAATTGTACCAAAAAGATTAAGACAATTTTTAGATTACAAACATTTTCTGGGCAAGGATTCAAACCAATTCAAATAAGCAGCATAGAGGAGAACAAGGGAGGATTCAAGGACGACTGGGTAACACAAAATTGCAGGGTTAGGTTAATTGGTATGGGTGGGAAGGCTTCCTATCAGGTTTTAGCAGTGAGCGTGTCTAAATAATGCTGAGAAAATTGAGTTAGAAAGTGTACACACAACACTTAGGAACCATGATGATTGCATTTCTGCTTAAACCAGAGATCGAGCTAACGGAAATCTTTTTTCTGTTTATTCACATGTGCAAGAGAGAAAGGACATCTAGAATTAAATCTGAAGGCAAGCTCATGAGCTGAGTTCCTTGTCTGAAACTCTAATACAATGATCCTCATTGCAGATCTTTTTAAAAGTGCTTTTACTTACTTAGCTTCTCACTTATGTCAAATAAAATTTAAACAGTGAAAGTGCATAAGCTCAATTTGAGAAGGTTGGGGAAGCAAGAATAATCAGTTTTCTAAAATTTTGTATATAATCATCATGGCAGTCAAAGTTGATTTTACAAATATTTCTGTTTAGTTTTTCATTCAGTCTTTTTGAAAGAGTACATATTTGCTAAATCCAAGCTTTAAACCTGATAGTTTTTTATTTGTGGAAAAACTGGACGACCTTGCTTGGAAAGGAGAATGTTGGACTATTTACATAGAATATTTCTAATGCTATTAAAAAAGGAGTTAGAAAGAGAGGGGTGATTCAGATAATCAGTAATGTTTGTAAACCTAACAATAATATGCATTTTCATGCCCTTCCTTCATACATAAAATTACTTTCCCCAAATATCTGGCACTGTTTTAAGTAGTCAATACCATTCTTTAAAACTTATAGTACGTCACTCTTGAGTGTTTAGTTTCCTCATTGAAAGCAACTGAAACAATCTCTCGATACCCTGAGGAAAAAAACAAATTTAATAAAAAGCTTTAGGAATTCACAGAGTAGACTAAAGTCTGGAGAATCAGACTTGTAAGGTATGAGGAGGGCAGGAGAGGTAGAGGAAAAGCTTGCCTAAGGCTTGGAAGCAGGGAGCTTGGTATCATATTTAAGAATACAACAGGCCAGGCGCGGTGGCTCACGCCTGTAATCCTAGCAGTTTGGGAGGTCGAGGCAGATAAATCACGAGGTCAGGAGTTCAAGGCCAGCCTGGCCAAGATGGTGAAACCCCCGTCTCTACTAAAAATATAAAAATTAGTGGGGCGTGGTGGCACGCACCTATAATCTCAGCTACTTGAGATCCTGAGGCAGAGAATTGCTTAAACCTGGGAGGTGGAGTTTGCAGTGAGCCGAGATCATGCCCTCGCACTCCAGCCTGGGCAAAAAGAGTGAAAGTCAGTCTCAAAAAAAAAAAAAAAAAAGAAAGAAAGAAAATTTAAAAAAATAATAATACAACTGTTTGGCCGGGGGCAGTGGCTCACACTTGTAATCCCAGCACTTTGGGAGGTTGAAGCTGGTGGATCACAAGGTCAAGAGATAGAGACCATCCTGGCCAACATGGTGAAACCTCATCTCTACAAAAATTCGAAAATTAGCTGGGTGTGGTGGTGCATGCCTGTAGTCCCAGCTACTCAGGAGGGTGAGGCAGGAGAATCTCTCGAACCCGGGAGGCGGAGGTTGCAGTGAGCCGAGACCACGCCACTGCACTCCAGCCTGGCAACAGAGTGAGACTCTGTCTCAAAAAAAAAAAAAAAAAAAAGAATACAACTGTTCTTGCTGGGCACAGTGGCTCACACCTGTAACCCCAGCACTTTGGGATGCCAAGACAGGTGAATCATCTGAAGTCAGGAGTTCAAAACCAGCCTGGCCAACGTGGTGAAACTGCATCTCCACTAAAAACACAAAATTAGCTGGGCGTGGTGGCACGTGCCTGTAATTCCATCTACTCGGGGCGGGGGTGGGGTGGGGGGGCTGAGGCAGGAGAATCCCTTGAACCCAGGAGGCGGAGATTGCAGTGAGCCGAGATTGCACTGAACTCCAGCCTGGGCAATGAGGGTGAAAGTCCATCTCAAAAAAAAAAAAAAAAATACAACTGTCCTTCCTGTTTACCTCCCAATCAAGTAAGAAAGAGTCGACTGGGGACCATGTGATTTGTGCATGTGTGTTCATATGGCTGTTAATTAAGTGGGCAGAATAGGATTCTATAGCTCTTGTCTGCCTAGCTTCTATAGAGGGATGTGATGTTCAGTAACCCACCAATTCCAATTATATTTGCAATGAAGAATTGCCCTCCAAGGAGGAAAGGTGTTGAATGCTTCACACACACACACACACACACACACACACACACTGTCTCTCTCTCTCTCTTTTATACAAATACACTCTAGTGCTCAAAAAATGCTTTTTAAATTTATAGCATTTGAGTCAGGTAAGATTAAATGAACCTAGTGTAACAATACAGTTACCTGTAATGACTTGCTAATAAAGGTTTGTTAGAGCTAGTCACAGCTTACAAAGAAAGTTCCAGAATATGTATTCTATAAAAGTATACATGTTTTTATTGCTATATAATGGTCATACATATTTGGGGGTATATGTAATATTTTGATACCTAGATACAATGTGAAATGATCAAATCAGAGTAATTGGGACATCCATCAACTAAAACAGTTGCCTTTTCTTTGTGTTGGAAACATTAAAATTCTTCTTTTCTAGCTATTTTGAAATAAACAAATTATTGTTAACTATAATTTCCCTAGTGTACTATCTGTATTCTATGAATTTAAAATTGGTACAAATTAAATAGTATTTCTGGTGAAAGTTTCCTTTGAAGATATTGGGGAAGAATCATGATTCACCAAGATGTCATGGTTTAAAGGACCTTTTTTTTTTAAGAGAGGGAGTCTCACTTTATTGTCCAAGCTGAAGTGTAGTGTTGGAATCATAGGTCACTGAAATCTCAAATTCCTGGGCTCAAGCAATCTTCCCATCTCAGTCTCTTGAGTAGCTGGAACCACAGGTGCGTACCACCATGCCCAGGTGTTTTTAAAATTTTTTTGGAGAAAGGGGGTAGATGTAGAGATGAGGACTCGTTATGAGGTGTCACTATGAGGCCCAGGCTGGTCTTGAACTCCTGGGCTCAAGCAACCCTCCTGCCTCAGCCTCCCAAAGTGTGGGATTATAAGCGTGAGTCACTGTGTCCAGCCCCAAATAAATCATTTAGGCTAAGGATATGTTTATACTTTGACTTTTTCTTGTTGTTTCTGTTGCTCTTGTTCCAAACTACTTTCGAGGCTTGCCTAAGAGCATAAGGAGTTGAATTTTAATCTTCTAAGTGAAAAATTCCATATTTCATTAAAGAAAAAATATGCAGATTTTTTTCTGAATTACCGTGACTATGAATTTATTTCACTGGAATGCAATTTAAAACCATTACACTAATTTCTTATGCAAATGTATCAAAATTGACATCAATTTTTATTTTGTTTATAACTCATTGAACACTTAGTCATGTAAATGGGGAAAAGTGACTTGATATCAAAACAAAAATAAAGTAGGAATTAAACTGGCAATTTCCAAAAGCATAGTTAAATTATTTCAAAGGAAAATCCCTGGATGAGTGGCAGAAATCCATTAGGACAAGCAAAGTTGTAGTCCATTCTCGGAGAATCTGAGCCATGGGTTGCAGTAAATCGGGTTCCTTGTGAAGTGTCATGGCGTCCTTCAAAGTCTTCACTAGCACGTTGGATATTGTTTGTACTACTCAGTGTTCTTGGTTACAAACAACAAAAGAAGACTTTGGCTGATTAAACAGACAATGAATTTGTTAAAAGGATATTGGGAGTTTGTATAATTGTTGCGGTCCTAGAAAACAAAACTCAAAGTTAGTAGCCAGAAACTATGTTCAAAACTGGATAATAAATTGGCTCATTGATAAAACTGAAAGTTTTGCTTGGTCCTATAATTTTCAGGTACTGCTACTGTTGCTATAAAGAGAAAGCGATCCATTATTACCCCCCTCACTTTTTTAATGACTGGTTCTGATGCACTTACCAGGCTGCGGCTAGGTCACATGCCTCTGTCACAGCACTGTAGCTCTTACGGTGGAAGACGAATAGTCATAAGATGAGGAAGTCTGGAAACACAAGAAAGAGGTTCAGTATTCTAAAAGTGGGAGTGTAGAATTCATTCTTTATTTTCTGTAGGGAATTCATAAAAACCCCGCAAATTACACTCTAATATAACCATATGTAAAGCGTTATTTTAAAGGATATTTCAAAAGAGCCTCCAAAATATTTTCCCTCATCAGCATTTCCAATTAGTTAAAATAAACATCTTAAAAATATATATTAAGGCCAGGCGCGATGGCTCAAGCCTGTAATCCCAGCACTTTGGGAGGCCGAGGCAGGCGGATCACCTGAGGTTGGGAGTTTGAGAACAGCCTGGCCAACATGGCAAAACCTCATCTCTACTAAAAATACAAAAATTAGCCAGGCATGGTGGCATGTGCCTGTAATCCCAGCTTACTCGGGACACTGAGCCAGGAGAGTTGCTTGAACTTGGGAGGTAGAAGCTGCAGTGAGCTAAGACAGATCGTGCCATTGCCTTACAGCCTGGGCAACAGAGCGAGACTCCGTCTCAAAAAAAAAAAAAAAAAAAAAAAAAATATATATATATATATATATACACACACACACATATATATTGGCTGTGACTGACTTGGGGCATGTGACTGACTTGGGCCAAAGCAGAAAGAGTAGGTTTTTTCTGGGGATATAGGCAGCTTTCTTTCTTTGATAGTTTAAAAAAAAGCTACATATATATATATATATATGGCACACTTGGAAGAAGGATGCTAATAAGCTCCTATCACCATAAATCTTAAGTAAAATTTTCCTAGTTGACAGAATGGAACATGGGAAGATGATTACATTTTTGAAGGATGGAGGAATGTGGTAGGGCAAAAGTCTAGGGAGCAACTTTATTACTATCCCCCGAATTTTCAGTCAAATACTAATCCAGATGATATTGTGAAAGAACTTTGCAGAAGACATTTTGGAATATTAATCAACTCACTTTAACATAAGGAGATTGTCTTTGTGAGCCCAGTGTAATCTCGAGTCTTTAAAAGCAGAAGTGGGAAGCAGAAGTGTCAGAGGGATGTAGAAGAGAGAAGCAAGAGGAGAAATGAGGCTAACAGGGAGGTCAGAGAGATGCAAAGCATGAAAACTAACTGTGCTGTTGGCTTTGAAGATGGAGTGAAGAAAGCTATGAGCCAAGGATGGGCATTTCAACTGCCAGAAGTTGAGAACGACCCACTTCACCCATTGCTACCAGCCAGCAAGAAAATGAGAACCTCAGACGTACAATTGTAAAGATCTGAATTTGGCTAACAACCTGAATAACCTTGAAAACAAATTTGTCCCTGGAGATGCCAGAAAGTAACACAGTAACATGTTGATTCTGGCTTTGCAAAACCTGGAACAGAAAACTAGCTGAGCCCGGGAATGCCCAGATATCTAACCTACAGAATTCTCATATAATAAATTTCTGTTGTTTAAGTCACTGTGTTTGTAGTAATTTGTTTTGGTAGCAATAGAAAACTAATAAAAGGACAGAAGTGGCTGAGATGTGGAATAAAAGCTGGTCTTTTAACAAGTGAGCCATATAGATAAGACAACATACCAGCACCAAGTGTCTTAGGTATAGATATTCGGAGATGGGAAGTAGAATTTGGAAGGAAGAGGAAAAATACTGTGAAAAGTAATTTGAAGACTATTGAAGACATATTTGATCTTCATTCCTGATCTTGGGTTTCCACCCTGAATTACCTCTTTTTGTAGAATATTACCGTGATTTACAGATCAAAAGATCTTTGCTTTAAATCTGCAAGAATGACCAATGAAAATGGAGGACAATTTAGAATTTCTACAGGTCAGTGCAGTGAGCAAAATATATTTCGTTGATCCACAGACCGCCCCCCGCAATGTAGTCAGAACCCTTTTCAGTATTTTCCTGAATGAATGTGTGGGTGTAGTCATAAAGTATGCCAATATTAGGTACTGAATATTTATATAGAAAGTAATCCTTCATTTCCCAAACACTGAATGTATTTTTTAAACAATGACAATATTTGCTTTTATTTGTTTATCCTTCTATAATTATAAACATTTGAGTAGGTTTTGGTTTAAAAATAGAAAAAAAAGATAGTAACAGATGGGTTGAATTATTTCCAAATAGACATTTGTTTTAATTGCCTGTGATAAGAAGATAAAGACTTTTGGTCCAATGAATGTAACACTGTTAAAAGTTTGTTGTCAGACTTTAATATATGACCAAATTGAGAATTTTGGAATGTTGGAAGACAATCAGATTAGGATACCTATGATGTCCTGGGATTGACAACAACTGAGCAATTTTGGAGGTAATGAGAGAGAATCAAAGTACCCCAGCTAGAGGTAGCTAGAAGTAGGAATAGAATGTCCCACGAGCTAGAGGTAGGATTAGAATACCACATTGTGCACATGTACCCTAGAACTTAAAGTATAATAATAATAATAATAATAATAATAATAAAAGATTACCATGTATTTTTATTCATATTGTCTTTTGACCAATCACCTGAGGCTGCATTTCAAGTGTGGCAAATCACTGAAAAAGTCACTTAAAATTGACAAATTAGGAACAATGTATATTAAAAACAAAATGAACAATAAAAATATTCCTTTATATCTTCCAGGACTCTGTGCTGTAATAATTGAAAATGGTAATTTAAAATAACTTTTAAAATAACTTTATTGGCTCACATAATTTGAAAGTCTATGGGTAAATACGGCCTTGTCACTGGCTCTAAGACATCACTGGGGACCCTCTGAGTTGTCAGCCACGTCTTAAGGTTTGTTTCTATCATAATAGAAAAAACGAATGTCCCATTCCTAGTAGTCAAACAAATGATATCACACTACCAAAAAAGAGAGACAGAAATGGCTTCCGATAGTTTTTTTTTTTTTTTTTTTTTTTAAACTATCAAAGAAAGAAAGCTCCCTATATCCCCAGAAAACACCTACTCTTTCTGCTTTGGCCCCAAGTCAGTCACACGCCTTAGTTTTTTGTTTTGTTTTTTGTTGTTTTTTTTTTTTTTGAGACGGAGTCTCGCTCTGTCACCCAGGCTGGAGTGAAGTGGCGCGATCTCGGCTCACTGCAAGCTCCGCCTCCCAGGTTCATGCCATTCTCCTGCCTCAGCCTCCCGAGTAGCTGGGACTACAGGTGCCCGCCACCACGCCCAGCTAATTTTTTGTATTTTTTAGTAGAGACGGGGTTTCATACCGTGTTAGCCAGGATGATATCGATCTGACCTCGTGATCCACCCGCCTCGGCCTCCCAAAGTGCTGGGATTACAGGCGTGAGCCACACCTGGCCTGCATGCCTTATTTCTTACCCGGTCTCAATTACAGGAAATTGTCATATGCTGACTAGCTTAGGCCTAGGTTAGTTGAATTAATAGAACCCACAACTGGGAGATAGAGTCCATCTCTACCAAACACATGGTTTCACAAAATAATTGTTGGGGTAACTATTTTAATGCCCACTATGATCTCCATCTCAAAAATCTCAGACTCCTTCCTTGATTCCTTAGAAAAGATTAACTCCCATAATAATTTGCACATCTCTCATGATAAGAATTTTTGCACTTCGTAGATATTCTACGTCTGCTGCTGAATTTTTATCTCAAATTTTATAGTGAAAATTGTCAAACATACAGATAAGTTGAAAGAATTATAGATTCAACAGCTTATATTTACTCCCCACCTAGATTCCACAATTATCATTTTGCTATATTTGCATTATCACATATCTGTCCATATGTGTATCTATCCATTAATCAAATTTACTATATTCTGTTGGATTCTAGTCTGTTTGAAGGAAAGAGAACTTTTGTATTGTTCAATGTTGTATCCCCTGCATACTAGCATAATATCTGACATATAGAAAGATCTCAATAAACATTAGGGAAGGAAGAGAAGGAGATAAGGAAGGACAGAGTCAGAGAGGTAAAGATCGATTTTGTGTGTGAAATGAGGGCTTATTTTCAGCTTAACCAGAGCAACATGTACCACGATAGGTCACGGCTCAATTTAAGAGGTCACTAAGCAATATCATATGTTAAAGTCAACATGAATTTTAGACCATGTCTTTGAAAATGAGTACAAAATTAGGGATATTAATGTTTTTTTAGTAGTTGGGTACATGATCAGAAATCCACATACACATTCATATCTATTTTCCTTTAGCCAGACATCATTCAAAACATAGTTTATGAAATAATTTTGGTGGAATTAAACTTGAAATGTTCATAATTGTGTAATTAATTATAATCAACTTTGATTACATTTGCTAATTAATGCAAGTTCATAAGCATGGCACTTTGTGCAGTGACTCACAGCAGTAGGTGTGACAAGGATGGTGGTTTGAGTATGATAATACATTCAAGAATTCTTCTTTATGGTTTCTTCTAAAAACCTCCAACAGGCAGCTTCTAAAGGTCAGTGGGGTCACATTTGTCCTTTCATATCCAGACTATTGGCAAAGGTTAAGGGTTCATTTGGCAATCAACTGCAATGTCAGTTCAAGTGCTGCTAAAGCCATCTGTGAAGTGATCGTGTCAGCAGGGTAACAGAAAGACGCTACACCTACCTGCTAGAACAGAGAGATGACCTGCCAATAGCATTTAAGGAGAACAACATTTAACCTTTGTGACTGCTGCAGGAATCATTTCAGATTCCCTTTAAAACAGAAAAAATATCAGTAACTTTGCAGTTGGAATTGGGACATCTGCTTCTACAGGCTCAGAGATACCATGGTTCTCAACATGCAGAAGGTAGATGCGTCTAATTTTATCCCTTTTTTATTCCTCAAGTGGAAGGTAAACTCAGGAAGCTAGCCTTATACAAGTTAAATACTTTTTTTATTTTCAAAAGAGACATTTCTGTTGGGAATGTAAATATTGGTCTACGTTTATGATTTAAAATTGTCTTTCTGTTGTGAAGTATATTTTAGTGATTAATGCAAACAACAAATCTTTGCAGTTTTCTGTGTGTATCATGTGTTCCTATTGATTACACATAAACATTCTTTTGTATTCTTTATCAATAAACCTGAGTAGCACAGAAAATTTTATTATCCCCATTTAATTGATGAGAACATTGACAATCAGAGGAAAAGAAACTGATACACCTTTAGGACTAGGTCTACTGCCTCATAACTTCATTGTATTGCCTTATCCCTTGACAACTATCTTCTTGCCTTATGAAGAAGCTATGTCTTTTCAGTCAATAATGCTACATTTTCACAACAAAAAGAATCTATAGAATTTTTGGAGCCAATGAGAGAATAAGTGGATATGTTTACCTATATTATGTTGGGTTTGTTTAGTGATTTGCGGGGCTAAGGCTAAAAATCTATTTTATGCAACTGCCACCCTTTTTTTCCTTAATTGCCTTCCAACATAGAGAGTAGAATTTCCATATGAAGGTGATTTTTAATCTGAAATAAGCAATCTCAATTTTGTATGTGTGTTGCACCTTGGTGAATATTTCTTTCATTTGGGCCAAATTACACTAACAGGACTCTTTCTGGTCCAAGTGCCAGAAACCCACTTACAAGGCTTATACAAAACAGGACTTTTATAGCCTTGGGAAATAAAAATCTACCTGGGAAGGTCTAAGCTTCTGACAGAGCTGAGTCCAGGTGCTCAAATGATATTTTCAGGACTTTCTCTTTCCTTTGTTTGAGTATGCTTCCTTTTAGGGTGACGTTAGTCTCTGTCAAGCCTTCCTTTAAGGTAGAAGAAGGATTAATAGCAGATCCAGGCTCACATCCTATTCACTTAGCAGTACTGGTTCATTTTTTTGCGTGAACATACATTGTTTATAAATAAAAATAATACGTACTTATAGTGTACAGCATGATGTTTCAAAATATGTATATGTTATAAAATGATAACCACAATCAATCTAATTAACATATCCATTACCTTACATAGTTACCATTGTGCATGTGTGATAAGAACACCTAATATCTATATTATTAGCAAATTTCTAGTGTATAATATATTATTATTAACTGTAGTTTGGGAGGCCGAGATAGGCAGATCACAACGTCAGGAGATTGAGACCATCCTGGATAACATGGTGAAACCCTGTCTCTACTAAAAAAATACAAAAAATTAGCCAGGCGTGGTGGTGGGCACCTGTAGTCCCAGCTACTTGGGAGGCTGAGGCAGGAGAATGGCGGGAACCCGGGAGGCAGAGCTTGCAGTGAGCCGAGATCGTGCCACTGCACTCCAGCCTGGGTGACAGAGTGAGACTCTGTCTCAAAAACAACAACAAAACAAAACAAAACAAAACAAAACAAAACAAAACAAAACTGTAGTCAGTCACTGTATTTTACATTAGATTTCCAGAACTTATTCATCTTATAATTAAAAATATGTGTTCTGTAACCAACATCCCATTTCCCTCATGCCTTGACGCTCGATAACTATACTTCTAATCTCTGTTTCTATGAGTTCAACTTTTTAAGACTCTACAAGGAATATTTGTCTTTCTATATCTGGCTTATTCCACTTAACATAATGTCCTCCAGGTTTATCCATATTGCAAATAGCAGAATTTTCTTCTCTTTTAAAGCTGAATAATATTCCACTGTGTGTGTATATACACATATGTTGTATAGGTACAATTTCTACATATACAATATACAATCTAAGTATCTCTTGAAGATGAATGGATAAATAAGTTGTAGTATATATTGTTATATATATATGTACTTATAATAGATATTATACTTTTCTAATCCATTGGTCTGTTGAGAAACATTTAGATTGTTTCCGTATTTTGACTATTGTGAATAATGCTGCAATGAACATAGGAGTGCAGATGTACTTCTGAATAGTGATTTTATTTTCTTTGGATAGGCACCTAGAAGTGAGATTGCTGCTGGATCATCTGGTAGCTTTTTTTTTTTTTTTTTTTTTTTTTTGAGGAGCCTCCATGCTGTTTTCCATAAGTTTTACCAATTTATATTCCTATCAACAGTATATAAGGCCTTCCATTTCTCTAAATCCCTACCAGCACTTGTTATCGTTTGCCTTTTTTGATGATAGCCACACCTGTTTGATGAACAGGTATGAGGTATTATCTCCTGTGGTTTTCATTTGCATTCCCATGATGATTAGTAATGGTGAACGTCTTTTTATATTTCTTTTGGTCATTTGTATGTTTTCTTTAGAAATGTGTCTATTCAATTCCTTTGCCTGTATTTTAACTGGGTTGTTAGCTTTTTTTTTGCAATTGAATTGAATGAGTTTCTTCTGTATTTTGCATATTAACTCTGTATCAGATATATGGCTTGCAAATATTTTCTCTCATTCTGTAAGCTGCCTTTTCATTTTGTTGGCTACTTTCTTTGCTGCACAGTAACTTTCTAGTTTGATGTAGTCCCATTTGTCCATTTTTGCTTTTGCTTCCTGTGATTTTTGGCTCATATCTAAAAAATAATTGCCAGGACTAATGCCATGGAGATTTTCCCCTATTTTCTTCTAGGTGTTTTACAGTTCAGGTCTTCTTAATATATTAGGTGTTTAACACATTGTAAGTTGATTTTTGTTTATGATAAAACATGAAGATCCAATTTTATTTTATTTTTGCATGTGGATATTCAGTTTTCTCAACAACATTTATTTAAGTGTCTATCTTTCCCCATTGAATATATTTGATGCCTTTATCAACAAGTAGTTGATTGTATATATGTGAGTTTATTTCTGGGCTTTCTATTCTTTTCTATTGACCTATGTGTCTTTTTTATGTCAATACCACACTGTTTTGATTTCTATAGCTTTGTAATATAATTTGAAGACAGGGCATGTGATGCCTTCAGCTTTGCTCTTGTTCAAGATTGCTTTAGCTATTTGGAGGCTTTTACAGTTTCATATGTATTTTTGGATTTTTTTTCTATTTCTATGAAAAGATACCTGTGGAATTTTAGTAGGTATCTGTAGATTCCTTTGAATAGAATGGACATTTTGACAATATGGATTATTTTGATTCATAAACATGAGACATATTTCCATTTACTTATGACTCCTTCAATTTATTTAATCAATATTTTATAGTTTTTCAGTGTACATATATTATGCCCACTTGAATAAATTTATTCCTGAGTATTTTTTGATGCTATTGCAAATGAGATTGTTTTCTTAATTTCTTTATCGATAGTCTGTTGTTACTGTACAGAAATACTACTGATTTTTGTGTGCTGATCTTGTATCCTGCAACTTGCCTGCATTTTCTTATCGTTTATAAGAGGTTTTTGGTAGAGTCTTTAGTGTCTTCTATATATGAACTAATGTTATATGCACACAGAAACAATTTAGCTTCTTCCTTTTTAATTTGGATGCCTTTTCTTCCTTTTTCTTTTCTTTCTCTCTTTGCTTTTTGCCGACATGCTCTAGTGAGGACTTTCAGACCTATGTTGAATAGAAAGGATAAGAGTGGGAATCCTTGTCTTATTCCTGATCTTAGAGGAGGATTTTCAGCTCTTCACCACTGAGTATGATGTTAGGTGTGGGCTTGTCATATATAGCATTTATTATATTGAAGAACATTCCTTCTTTACCTAGCTGTTGAGAGTTCTAATCATGAAAAGATGTTGAATTTTGTCAAAAGTTTTTCTAAATCTGTGGGGATGATCATAAGATTTTTATCCTTAATTCTATTAATGTGGTATATTACATTTATTGATCAGCATTCCTTTTTGAAAGATACTGTCTTTCCTAACTCAGTCCCCTAAAGAAGTCCTAGGCTTGAGGACATTGGCCTGTATTGGATCATTTGGCCATACTGAATTAATTAAAATATGTACCTCTGACTGATGATATGCTTAACCCCCAATCTCCGGGCTAGTCTCAGACCGCTTTTTTCACATGATATGTGCATAAGGTGGGATAGTACTTTAGAATAAAATCAAGGCATTATTTAGCAGACAGGAAAGGGGACATTGACAGATTCAGTGACATCACTACATCAAGTTTAAATAAAATGATGGGTTACATATGAGGAAAAGAGAGACAAAAATGTAATTTTGCAAGGCATAGGTTTTTTCTGCTTTTTGGGTGGGGGGAGTCTTGCTCTGTTGCCCAGGCTGGAGTGCAGCGGTGTGATCATGGCTCACTGAAACCTCTGCCTCCTGGATTCAAGCAAGCAATTCTCCTTTCTCAGCCTCCTGAGTAGCTGAGATTACAGGTGCCTGCCACCACACCTGGCTAATTTTTGTATTTTAGTAGAGATGGGGTTTCACCATGTTGGTCAGGCTGGTCTCAAATTCCTGACCTCAAATGATCTGACCACCTTGGCCTCCCAAAGCGGTCCCTCCCAAAGGGATTATAGGCATGAGCCACCTCACCCGGCCAGTTTTTTGAGAGCCATAAGTTGACTTTAATTCTGTGGTATAAATCAGTTATTTATAGTTAAAATATAAAATATTATGAAATATCAAATATTTGTGGAGTATCAATACAGATCATAGTATTCCAAAGCCCAGTAAACATTTAAAGATTGTAAGTAAAGGATAAGCGTTAGCAAACCAATTAATTGGTTGGTGTCATATCTTTACTTTTACTGCCAAATAAAAACATAATTTGAAAGTGAAATTTATTTAATTTATTACCATTTTTTTCTTCTGGTCATTATACGTTGGCCAACTTAATTTTATGAATATATACATTCCTTGCCAAAATATTATCTTTGCAAAGTCCAGGAAGCTTTTAAAAATATTTTCTATTTTCCCTGGAAAACATACTTTAGAATATCACCCAGGATGACCTCCTGAACCTAGCAAGACAGGCTAACATTCAAAGTCAGAAAATGCCAGAAAATTCCAGTAAGATACTCCATGAGAAGATCATCTTCAAGACATATAATCATCAGATTCTCCAAGGTCAAAATCAAAGAAAAAGTGTTCAGGGCAGCCAGAGAGAAAGGCAAGGTCACCTATAAAGGGAAGCCCATCAGACTAACAGAAGACCTCCCCGTGGAAACCCTACAAGCTAGAAGAGATTGGGGGCCAATATTCAACATTCTTAAAGAAAAGAATTTCCAACCCAGGATTTCATATCCAGCCAAATTAAGCTTCATAAGCAAAGGAGAAATAAGATCCTCTTCAGACAAAAAAATGCTGAGGGAATTTGTTACCACCAGACCTGCCTTACAAGAGCTCCTGAAGGAAGCACTAAATATGGAAATGAAAAACTGTTACCAGCCACTACAAAAACACACCGAAGCACACAGACAAGTGACACTATGAAACACATAAACAAGACTGCATAATAACCAACTAACATGCTGACAGGATCAAATTCACACATAATGTTACTAATCTTAAATGTAAATAGGCTAAATGCCCCAATTAAAAGACACAGAATAGCAAGCTGGATAAAGAACCAAGACCTATTGGTACTCTGTCTTCAAGAGACCCATCACACACGCAAAGACATATATAGGCGCAAAATAAAGGATGGAGGAAAATTTACCAAGCAAATGGAAAACTGAAAAAAGCAAGAGTTACACTCCTAGTTTCTGACAAAACAATCTTTAAAGCAACAAAGATCAAAAAAGACAAAGAAGGGCATTACATAATGGTAAAGGGTTCAATTCAACGAGAAGAGCTAACTATCCTAAATATATATGCACTCAATACAGGAACACCCAGATTCATAACACAATTTGTTAGAGACCTACAAAGATACTTAGATGGCCACAGAATAATAGTGGAGACTTTAACACCCTATTGACAGTATTAGCTCACTGAGACAGAAAATTCACAAAGATATTCAGGACCTGAACTCAGCTCTGGAACAAGTGTACCTGATAGATATCTATAGAACTCTCCACTCAAAAACAAAAGAATATACATTCTTCTCATCACCACACAGCAGTTACTCTAAAATTGATCACATAATCAGAAGTAAAACACTTCTCAGCAAATGCAACAGTATTGAAATCATAACAAACAGTCTCTCAGGCCACAGCTCAATCAAATTAGAACTCAAGTTTAAGAAGTTCACTCAAAACCATACAACTACATGGAAATTGAACAACCTGCTCCTGAGTTACCTTTGGGTAAATAATGAAATTAAGGCAGAAATCAAGATGCTCTTTGAAACAAATGAGGAAAGAGATACAATTTACCATAATCTCTGGGACTCAGCTAAACCAGGGTTAAGAGGGAAATTTATAGCACTAAATGCCCACATCAAAAAGCTAGAAATATCTCAAGTTGACAACCTAACATCACAACTAAAACAATTAGAGAACCAAGAGCAAACGAACCCCAAAGCTAGCAGAAAACAAGAAATAACCAAGATCAGAGCTGAACTGGAGAAGACAGAGAAAAGAAAAACCCTTCAAAAGATCAAGAAATCCAGGAGTGTTTTTGTTTGTTACTTTTGGAAAAAAAAAAATAGATTACTAGCTAGACTAATAAAGAAGAAAAGAGAGAAAATTCAAACAGGCACAATTAGAAGTCATAAGGGATATATCACCACTGACCCCACAGAAAAAGAAACAACCATCAGAAAATACTATAAACAACTCTACGTATATAAACTAGAAAATTTAGAAGAAATTGATAAATTCCTGGACACATCCACCCACCAAGACTTAACCAGGAGGAAATTAAATCCCTGAATAGACCAATAACAAATTCTGAAATTGAGGCACCAATAAATAGCCTACTAATCAAAAATAGCCCAGGACCAGACGGATTCACAGCTGAATTCTACCAGAGTTACAGAGAAGAGCTGGTACCATTCCTGTTGAAACTATTCCAAACAATTGACAAAGAGGGACTCTTTCTTCCCTAACTCATTCTATGAGGCCAGCATTATCCTGATACCAAAACCTGGCAGAGATACAACAACAAAAAAAGAAAACTCCAGGCCAATATCCTTGATGAACATTGATGCAAATATCCTCAAAAAAAAAAAAAAAAAAATACTGGCAAGCTGAATCCAGCAGCACATCAAAAAGCTTGTCCACCACGATCAAGCTGTCTTCATCCCCGGGATATTAGTTTGGTTCAACATATGCAAATCAATAAGTGTGATTCATCACATAAACTGATCTAAAGACAAAAAACACGATTGTCTCAATAGATGCAGAAAAGGCCTTTGATAAAATCCAACATCTTTTTCACGTTAAAAACACTCAATAAACTAGGTATTGAAGAAACATAACCCCCCAAAATAAGACCCATATATGACAAACCCACAGCCAAAATCATGCCGAATGGGCAAAAGATGAAGCATTCCCCTTGAAAACCAACACAAGGCAAAGATGTCCTCTCTTGCCACGCTTATTCAACACAGTATTGGAAGTTCTGGCCAGGGCAATCAGGCAAGGAAAAGAAATAAGGGGTATTCAAATAAGGGGTATTTAGATAGGAAAAGAGGAAGTGAAACTATCTTTGTTTGCAGATGATATGATCCTACATCTAGAAAACCCCATCATCTCAGCCCCAAAACTTCTTAAGCTGATAAGCAAGGTCAGCAACGTCTCAGGATAAAAAAATCAATGTGGCCGGGCGCGGTGGCTCACGCCTGTAATCCCAGCACTTTGGGAGGCCGAGGCGGGCGGATCACGAGGTCAGGAGATCGAGACCATCCTGGCTAACAAGGTGAAACCCCGTCTCTACTAAAAATACAAAAAATTAGCCGGGCGTGGTAGCGGGCGCCTGTAGTCCCAGCTACTCGGGAGGCTGAGGCAGGAGAATGGCGTGAACCCGGGAGGCGGAGCTTGCAGTGAGCCGAGATCGCGCCACTGCACTCCAGCCTGGGCGACAGAGCGAGACTCCGTCTCAAAAAAAAAAAAAAAAAAAAAAAAATCAATGTGCAAAAATTGCTAGCATTCTTATACACCAACAACAGGCAAGTTGAGAGCCAAATAGTAAATGATCTCCCATTCACAATTGTCACAAAAAGAATAACATGCTTAGGAATGTAGCTAAGAAGAGAAGTGAAGAACATCTTCAAGAACTGCAAACCACTGCTCAAAGAAATCAGAGAGGACACAAACAAATAGAAAAACATTCCGTACTTATGGATAGGAAGAATCATATCATGAGAATGGTCATACTGCTCAAAGCAATTTATAGATTCAATGCTATCCCCTTTAAACTACCATTGACATTCTTTGCAGAATTAGAAAAAAACTATTTTAAAATTCATATGAAACCAAAAGAACCCGAATAGCCAAGGCAATCCTAAACAAAAAGAACAATGCCAGAGCCATCACGTTACCCAACTTTATACTACAAGGCTACAGTAACCAAAACAGCATGATACTGGTATAAAAACAGGCACATAGTCCAATGGAACATAATAAATAGCCCAGAAATAAAGCTGCACACCCACATCCAACTGATCTTTGACAAAGGTGATGAAAGTAAGCAATGGGAAAAGACTGTGTATTTAATAAATGGTACTGGGATAACTGGCTAGCCATAGACAGAAAATTGAAGCTGGACCCTTCCTTACAACATATATAAAAATCAACTGAAGATAGATTAAAGACTTAAATGTAAAACTTAAAATTATAAAAACCCTAGAATATAATCTAGGAACTACCATTCTGAACATAGGCCTCAGAAAAGATTTCATGATGAAGATGCCAAAAGCAATTGCAATAAAAACAAAAACTGACAAATTGGACCTAATTAAATGAAACAGCTTCTGTAGAGGAAAAGAAACTACCGACAAAGTTAACAGACAATCTACAGGAGAAAATATTTACAAACTATGCATCTGACAAAGATCTAAAGTCCAGAATGTATAAGGAAATTACATTAACAAGAAACAAAAAAACAACCCTGCTAAAAAGTGGGCAAAGGACATCAACAGACAGTTCTCAAAAGAAGACATACATGCGGCCAACAAACATATCAAAAAAGCTCAACATTACTGATTATTAGAGAAATGCAAATCAAAACCACAATGAGATACCATCTCACACCACTCAGAATGCCTACTATTAAAAAATAAAAAAAAAAAAACAGATGCTAGTGAAGTTAAGAAGAAAAAGGCACACTTTTACACTGTTGGCGGGAGTGTAAATTAGTTCAATTGTTGTGGAAGACAGTGTGGCAATTCCTCAAAGACCTAAAGGCAGAAATACCATTCAACCCAACAATCCCATTACTACATATATACCCAAAGGAATATAAATTGTTAAATTATAAAGATACACGCACACGTATGTTTATTGCAGCACTATTTACAATAGCAAAGACATGTAATCAATCCAAATGCACATCCATGATAGATAGGATTAAAAAAATGTAGTACATAGGTACCATGGAATACTATGCAGCCATAAAAAGGAATGAGATCATGTCCTTTACAGGGACAGGATGGAGCTGGAGGCCATTATCAGTAGCAAACTAATGCAGGAACAGAAAACCAAATACCATGTGTTTTCATTTATAAGTGGGAGCTGAATGATGAGAACATATAGACACATGGTGGGGGGAAACAACACACACTGGGGCCTGTCGAAGGGTGGGGGATGGGAAAAGGGAGAGCATCAGGCAACATAGCTAGTGGATGCTGGGCTTAATTTTTAGGTGATAGGATGGTTTGTGCAGCAAACCACCATGGCACACATTTACCTACGTAACAAACCTGGACGTCCTGCTCATGTACCTCTGAACTTAGAATAAAAGTTGGAAACAAAAATATATTTATTTTCAATTTTCACTTTCACATGCTAAGAGAATTCAGAAAGAATATGTCAATAAGAGTTGGTACCTTGATGGTCATCAAATTTTTGTTTGCATAAAACTGAACTGTTTTGCAAACAAAAGTGTCCTGGATGAAAATTAATTTCCTCCAATCCAGTCTGGTGCTGGATTATAGTGAACTGTAATTGGACAGGGACCATCAAACACAGTGGTCAAATATTTGGGCCTTAGAGTCAAACAGCACTGGGTGGCATTCCAGCTTTGTCACTTCCCAGCTATGTGACTTTGAACAGGTTACCTTGTCAATTTTCAGTTTCCTCATCTTTGAAATTAAGAACAAATGATCTCCTTCAAAAGATTGTTGTAATTCTGTAAAATACAACAGGTGAAACATTTATTGTAGTTCCTGGTGTGAAATAAGCATTCAGTTAGTCATTCTTTATCTCCTTATTAAAACACAGTGGTTAGTGACTGCCAAACCATAGTGAATCAGGGTATATACTTTCTTAGCTGGCTGTTTGAAACTCTGATTTGCTATATAGGTGAACTGCCTTCTCATTAGTGAAGCCATTTGGAAAACCATAGTGAATCGGGGTATAACCTCTCTTAGCTGGCTGTTTGAAACTCTGATTTGCTATGTAGGTGAACTACCTTCTCATTAGTGAAGCCATTTGGAAATACACTACTTGTTCCTAATATGAATGCATCACAGTTTCATCAGCTTCAGTGTGCACAAGACTGTAATTAACAAGTAAAATGAACATAGACCATCTAAAAGTCATTAAAGTATGGAAGAAAATTCCATTTGAACAAAAGTAAAATTCCCTGCATGTTTACTCACTTAGCAGAAGCCATTTGAGGAGACATAATTTACTCACTAATGTATCAGCAGATCACGGATGAAACTGCTCGTAACCTCCTGCTGTCATTGTCATGAAATGCAGCTAATATTAATTGAAATATCTGAATACTTGGCTCTATAATCTGTGAAACAAACATAAAAATCTTTTGTATATTTTGTTAGTTTTTCAGTATGAATATTAGAACATCAGGTTTTCGTTCATTATTTCCTGTATTGATATATATTGTAGCAAATGGCTTTTCTAAGATGTCCTTAAGGAATACTCATAAAAGAATTAATATCCCTATCTCTTTGCCATTGGACACAGGTAAATCAGTGTTTGTAACAAATGCCAGACCTAGATAACCTGAATTATATCCCAAGTCTTCAAAGACTGACATTCTGAGATTAAATGGAATCTGATAATGTTTTGAAAAAGGAAAGAAAAAAAGCTGTCCCTGTTCACCAGACTTGGTGGAGAGAGGGATTTGCTAATCACTGCAAAGTGTTCAAGACATTAGGATGACAATTAGTTGTGTACCTTGCTGAAGTGATGCCTTAAATAGCTGACAGAGCTTTCTTTGGTGAGTACTTTTGTACCTGCCAATGGCTTCACTTGCCTGCTGCCTAGACAGACCTGATTTATCAAGACATGGGGATTGCAATAAAAAAAGAGTAATGCATGCAGAGCCAGCTCTGCAAGAGACTGGAGTTTTATTATTACCCAAATCAGTCTCCTGGAGCATTAAGGGATCAGAGCTTTTAAAGACAACTTTTATTTTATTTTATTATTATACTTTAAGTTTTAGGGTACATGTCCACAATGTGCAGGTTAGTTACATATGTATACATGTGCCATGCTGGTGGGCTGCACCCGTTGACTCGTCATTTAGCATTAGGCATATCTCCTAATGCTATTTCTCCCCGCTGCCCCCACCCCACAACAGTCCCCGGAGTGTGATGTTCCCCTTCTTTTGTCCATGTGCTCTCATTGCTCAATTCCCATCTATGAGTGAGAACATGCGGTGTCTGGTTTTTTGTGTTTGCGATAGTTTATTGAGAATGATGATTTCCAATTTCATCCATGTCCCTACAAAGGACATGAACTCATCGTTTTTTATGGCTGCATAGTATTCCATGGTGTATATGTGCCACATTTTCTTAATCCAGTCTATCATTGTTGGACATTTGGGTTGGTTCCAAGTCTTTGCTATTGTGAATAGTGCCGCAATAAACATACGTGTGCATGTGTCTTTATAGCAGCGTGATTTATAGTCCTTTGGGTATATACCCAGTAATGGGATGGCTGGGTCAAATGGTATTTCTAGTTCTAGATCCCTGAGGAATCGCCACACTGACTTCCACAATGGTTGAACTAGTTTACAGTCCCACCAACAGTGTAAAAGTGTTCCTATTTCTCCACATCCTCTCCAGCACCTGTTGTTTCCTGACTTTTTAATGATTGCCATTCTAACTGGTGTGAGATGGTATCTCATTGTGGTTTTGATTTGCATTTCTCTGATGGCCAGTGATGGTAAGCATTTTTTCATGTGTTTTTTGGCTGCATAAATGTCTTCTTTTGAGAAGTGTCTGTTCATGTCCTTCGCCCACTTTTTGATGGGGTTGTTTGTTTTTTTCTTGTAAATTTGTTTGAGTTCATTGTAGAATCTGGATATTAGCCCTTTGTCAGATGAGTAGGTTGCGAAAATTTTCTCCCATTTTTGTAGGTTACCTGTTCACTCTGATGGTAGTTTCTTTTGCTGTGCAGAAGCTCTTTAGTTTAATTAGATCCCATTTGTCAATTTTGCCATTGCTTTTGGTGTTTTAGACATGAAGTCCTTGCCCATGCCTATGTCCTGAATGGTAATGCCTAGGTTTTCTTCTAGGGTTTTTATGGTTTCAGGTCTAACATTTAAGTTTTTAATCCATCTTGAATTAATTTTTGTATGAGGTGTAAGGAAGGGATCCAGTTTCAGCTTTCTACATATGGCTAGCCAGTTTTCCCAGCACCATTTATTAAATAGGGAATCCTTTCCCCATTGCTTGTTTTTGTCAGGTTTGTCAAAGCTCAGATAGTTGTAGATATGCGGCATTATTTCTGAGGGCTCTGTTCTGTTCCATTGGTCTATATCTCTGTTTTGGTACCAGTACCATGCTGTTTTGGTTACTGTAGCCTTGTAGAATAGTTTGAAGTCAGGTAGCATGATGCCTCCAGCTTTGTTCTTTTGGCTTGGGATTGACTTGGCGATGCAGGCTCTTTTTTGGTTCCATATGAACTTTAAAGTAGTTTTTTCCAATTCTGTGAAGAAAGTCATTGGTAGCTTGATGGGGATGACATTGAATCTATAAATTACCTTGGGCAGTATGGCCATTTTCACAATATTGATTCTTCCTACCCATGAGCATGGAATGTTCTTCCATTTGTTTGTATCCTCTTTTATTTCACTGAGCAGTGGTTTGTAATTCTCCTTGAAGAGGTCCTTCATGTCCCTTGTAAGTTGGATTCCTAGGTATTTTATTCTCTTTGAAGCAATTGTGAATGGGAGTTCACTCATGATTTGGCTCTCTGTTTGTCTGTTATTGGTGTATAAGAATGCTTGTGATTTTTATACATTGATTTTGTATCCTGAGACTGCTGAAGTTGCTTATCAGCTTAAGGAGATTTTGGGCTGAGGCAGTGGGGTTTTCTAGATATACAATCATATCATCTGCAAACAGGGACAATTTGACTTCCTCTTTTCCTAATTGAATACCCTTTATTTCCTTCTCCTGCCTGATTGCCCTGGCTAGAACTTCCAACACTATGTTGAATAGGAGTGGTGAGAGAGGGCATCCCTGTCTTGTGCCAGTTTTCAAAGGGAATGCTTCCAGTTTTTGCCCATTCAGTATGATATTGGCTGTGCATTTGTCATAGATAGCTCTTATTATTTTGAGATACGTCCCATCAATACTTAATTTATTGAGAGTTTTTAACATGAAGCGTTGTTGAATTTTGTCAAAGGCCTTTTCTGCATCTATTGAGACAATCATGTGGTTTTTGTCTTTGGTTCAGTTTATATGCTGGATTACATTTATTGATTTGAATATATTGAACCAGCCTTGCATCCCAGGGATGAAGCCCACTTGATCATGGTGGATAAGCTGTTTGATGTGCTGCTGGATTCGGTTTGCCAGTATTTTATTGAGGATTTTTGCATCAATGTTCATCAAGGATATTGGTCTAAAATTCTCTTTTTTGGTTGTGTCTCTGCCAGGCTTTGGTATCAGGATGATGCTGGCCTCATAAAATGAGTTAGGGAGGATTCCCTCTTTTTCTATTGATTGGAATAGTTTCAGAAGGAATGGTACCAGTTCCTCCTTGTACCTCTGGTAGAATTCGGTTGTGAATCCATCTGGTCCTGGACTCTTTTTGGTTGGTAAGCTATTGATTATTGCCACAATTTCAGAGCCTGTTATTGGTCTATTCAGAGATTCAACTTCTTCCTGGTTTAGTCTTGGGAGGGTGTATGTGTCAAGGAATTTATCCATTTCTTCTAGATTTTCTAGTTTATTTGCATAGAGGTGTTTGTAGTATTCTCTGATGGTAGTTTATATTTCTGTGGGATCGGTGGTGATATCCCCTTTATCGTTTTTTATTGCGTCTATTTGATTCTTCTCTCTTTTCTTCTTTATTAGTCTTGCTAGCGGTCTATCAGTTTTGTCAATCCTTTCAAAACACCAGCTCATGGATTCATTAATTTTTTGAAGGGTTTTTTGTGTCTCTATTTCCTTCAGTTCTGCTCTGATTTTAGTTATTTCTTGCCTTCTGCTAGCTTTTGAATGTGTTTGCTCTTGCTTTTTTAGTTCTTTTAATTGTGCTGTTGGGGTGTCAATTTTAGATCTTTCCTGCTTTCCCTTGTGGGCATTTAGTGCTATAAATTTCCCTCTACACACTGCTTTGAATGTGACCCAGAGATTCTGGTATGTTGTGTCTTTGTTCTCGTTGTTTTCAAAGAACATCTTTATTTCTGCCTTCATTTCGTTATGTACCCAGTAGTCATTCAGGAGCAGGTTGTTCAGTTTCCATGTAGTTGAGCGGTTTTGAGTGAGTTTCTTAATCCTGAGTTCTAGTTTGATTACATTGTGGTCTGAGAGACAGTTTGTTATAATTGCTGTTGTTTTACATTTGCTGAGGAGTGCTTTACTTCCAACTATGTGGTCAATTTTGGAATAGGTGTGGTGTGGTGCTGAAAAAAATGTATATTCTATTGATTTGGGGTGCAGAGTTCTGTAGATGTCTATTAGGTCCGCTTGGTGCAGAGCTGAGTTCAATTCCTGGGTATATTTGTTAACTTTCTGTCTCGTTGATCTGTCTAATGTTGACAGTGAGGTGTTAAAGTCTCCCATTATTATTGTGTGGGAGTCTGAGTCTCTTTGTAGGTCACTAAGGACTTGCTTTATGAATCTGGGTGCTCCTGTATTGGGTGCATATATATTTAGGATAGTTAGCTCTTCTTGTTGAATTGATCCCTTTACCATTATGTAATGGCCTTCTTTGTCTCTTTTGATCTTTGTTGGTTTAAAGTCTGTTTTATCAGAGACTAGGATTGCAACCCCTGCCTTTTTTTTGTTTTCCATTTGCTTGGTAGATCTTCCTCCATCCTTTTATTTTGGGCCTATGTGTGTCTCTGCATGTGAGATGGGTTTCCTGAATACAGCACACTGATGGGACTTGACTCTTTATCCAATTTGCCAATCTGTGTCTTTTAATTGGAGCATTTAGTCCATTTACATTTAAAGTTAATATTGTTATGTGTGAATTTGATCCTGTCATTATGATGTTAGCTGGTTATTTTGCTCGTTAGTTGATGCAGTTTCTTCCTAGCGTCGATGGCCTTTACAATTTGGCATGATTTTGCAGTGGTTGGTAGCGGTTGTTCCTTTCCATGTTTAGTGCTTCCTTGAGGAGCTCTTGTAAGGCAGGCCTGGTGGTGACAAAATCTCTCAGCATTTGCTTGTCTGTAAAGTATTTTATTTCTCCTTCACTTATGAAGCTTAGTTTGGCTGGATATGAAATTCTGGGTTGAAAATTCTTTTCTTTAAGAATGTTGAATATTGGCCCCCACTCTCTTCTGGCTTGTAGAGTTTCTGCTGAGAGATCCGCTGTTAGTCTGATGGGCTTCCCTTTGTGGGTAACCCGACTTTTCTCTCTGGCTGCCCTTAACATTTTTTCCTTCATTTCAACTTTGGTGAATCTGACAATTATGTGTCTTGGAGTTGCTATTCTCGAGGAGTATCATTGTGGCGTTCTCTGTAACTTGGTGGGTGTGGGGATGCCAGTGAGCCGGGAGTGCTGATTGGTCAGGTCAGAGATGGAAATTGTAGTGAGTGGTAACAGTCTTCTTGCCACTGAGTCAGTTCCTGGGTTCCTCCCAAAGTTAGTTCACCCTATGCCCAGGAATGAACAAGGACAACAGCTTGAAGGCTAGAAGCAAGATTGAGGTGGTTAGGTCAGATCTCTTTCACTGTCTCAGTTACAGTTTTGCAATGGTGGTTTCACTTTGCCTAACTCAGACTGCTCTTACTCTGTCTTGCATTATTATTATTATTTTTAACATCTTCAAAAGAGGAGAAATGAAAGAATATTGCACAAGTGCAAAATCTACCTCGTAAACTCAAATGTATGAAATGATTTTGAGGACATAATAGTAACAGGTTCTTGATACTGACTAAAGTGAAATTGCATCATCAGAGAAAGATGCAAGAGGCAGATAAAGGAGAGGGCCCCTGGAGAATCTCCCACCTGCGTGCACACTGGGAGAACAAGGTAGAGCAATGTGCAAGGGCCTTGTGCAAGGGGGAGGAGCCTGGCCTCTTCAGCTCTGGTGTGGTGGTCTGGAATCAGTCTGTGAGGTGGGGGCCTGTTTGAAGAACCTCCTCTCATTTTGCTGAGAGTTTATTTTTTCTTTTTTTCTTTTCACCCAATGTATTCCACTCTACTCACCCTGCAGGTGTCCACGTTGCTAATCTTTCCTGGTTGTGTGACAGGAATCTGGTTTTAGTTGAACTAAGGAGCAAAATTCTGAAAGACTATTATGCCATCTCTTTACTCTTTTATTGAAAATCACACACACACACACACACACACACACACACCGTGTACGTGACTCTTTTGAGCTCGTTCTTGTGCTGATAACTGTTAACCTAGAAAAAAATAAGAGCATTTCTGCCTTAAAGCTGCATGTAGTCCTCTATAAGATTATGTAGATTCAATAATTACTCAATAATTTACATATCGATACGTTAGTATTATGTCAACAACTGTTTCTAAAATACAAATGCTAGATTACAAACTTCATTGATTTATAGGACATAAGAGCTATTAAGAGCTTTCAGTACACTAAAGGATTCTATAACTTTTTTAGTAGAACCCATGTTTTTAACAACATTTTAGTCTTTAAAATTTCAAATTAGAGAAAACTTGAAATAATTTTAGAGTGAATACCATATTCTAAGAACCTAGAATCTACCATTAAAATGTTAACTATAAATCCTTTATCATATATCTATCAGTATATGCACAGAAATCTACTTTAAAATTAAATCTTACGTGGAACCTCAGTATTTCCTAAACAGGTAATAAATGCAATGCTTCTCTGGTCACAACAGAACTCAGTGCCCAAAAGTCTACTTGTTCTGGTTAGCTCTTCCCTAAGGGAACCAACATCTTTGTCAGTTCCACTGTGCACAATCTGACAACCAATGATGTAGTCAAAGCTTCCTCATTATTTTTAAGATAAAAAAACTAATGAAGATGCAGTAACTTGCTGCTATGAATGCAAGGCTGCCTTTTAAGCTGTTGCCAGACCTGAAACTAGAATTTATTTTTCTCTGTCTTTGTTGCTCATGTACTACTGTTTAAAAATCATTTTGAGTTGCTTAAATAGGTGTCAGGCTAGCCTCATCCATCTGCATATTTTATATTCTGAAAGCATTGCAACTAGTGTGGTGCTGGTTAGAATGAGTATGTAGTCTGGGTGCGGTGGCTCATACCTGTAATCCCAGCACTTTGGGAGGCTGAGGCAGGAAGATCACAAGGTCAGGAGTTCGAGACCAGCCTGGCCAATATAGTGAAACCCTGTCTCTACTAAAAATACAAAAATTAGCTGGGTGTGGTGGTGTGCACCTGTAGTCCCAGCTACTTGGGAAGCTGAGTAGAATCACTTGAACTTGGGAGAGGTGGAGGTTGCAGTGAGCCAAGATGGCGCCACTGCACTCCAGCCTGGGTGACAGAGCAAGACTCCGTCTCAAAAAAAAAAAAAATAAAT